>NC_000001.11:229668970-229820485 GCF_000001405.40 Homo sapiens | reverse complement strand
TACCAAATGTGGGTATTTGTTAAAAACATACACATACACACAACACTAATGGGATTCTCTTTTTTGTTGTAGTTTTAAATTTAAGCTGGAATTTCAATCAAATTTTTGTATGGAGTAACTTGCTTATAGTTAGAGTGCTTTTGCCCAGTCAGCTTGGGCCCAATGTCCACACCTCAAATTGAAGTACTCTGACACCAGTGCTGCCGAGTGGAGAGCTTTGTCTGCAGCATCTTCTGCTCAGCCAGGTTTGTCTTGGTGGCATCTGCCTGGCAAGCATTGGAATGTTAAAGCTTTCAAGCCCATATCTGTGCCTCTCATGAAACACATTTCTGTTCTTCTCTACTTATTCATGCAACAAATATTCATTGAGTATCTATTATGCACCATGGATGGTCTATATCACAGCTTCATTTCCTACCCTGCCATCTACTCCATGAGGTGAGTTGCACCTGTAAAGCTTTTAGTCCATCCACAGCACTGCTGAATAGAAACTCATTTCTATTCAGAGAGAAGCCCAGAGAGAAGAGGTAAACAAGAAAAGATAAAGAATATCCTTTGCTACTGTCAACCTAAATAACAGAGAGAGGCTCTCTCAAAGAAAAGGATGTTTATTCAGGAATAGGGCATTGCAATGGGAATACGTGTGCTATAGTAAACTATGTATGTAGTCAGGGAGGTAAAGGGAGACAAAGGTTTTCAAAGGAAAAAAATGGGATTACATAATTATTCTGACATAATTATCCTTGGCTACAAAGATTAATAAGAAGGGTGATACCAATTGAGGTTGGACAAGCAGTTGCTTGGCAGATGTCCTTGTGGAAGTATTCTTTTGTGTAAGGTTGTGAAGACCTTTGTACAAAGTATGGTTTTGGCAAAATTTTTGTGATAGTTTTTGTTGTTAGGTATACAAGTGTGAGAATCCTCTCTTTATAGCCTTCCCTGGCTCTATTTGTCAGTATTTTTTTAAATATTAGTGACCCCATTTTGATTCTGACAACTTTCACACTACAACAACCATTGAGATATATAAAGATATAGATTATATATATATGACAAATATATATACTGATTTACAACTTACAAAACACTTTTACATCCATTATCTCATTCAATCTATTTCCTGGATTTCTCTTTTGGCCACCTGGAGAGGGGAAGCCATTGTTACTACGTTCATGATGACTCATAAGCAATAATAGCAACAACCACTCTGTTCATAGAGTCAGTAGCATTGTAGCTGAACTAGTGAGGAAAATTTCAAGGGTGGGAATTGATGCAAACAAACTGCCAAATTGGGGCTTAGCCCAGGAGGGTTCTTGGCTTCACTTAGGAAAGAATTCAAGAGTGAGCAGACAGTGAAGAAAACAAATTTATTAGAGAAATAATGTACAGCAAAATGACAGCTCCATAGAAAGAACAGGGCTACCCCACAGGCACAGTGGCCCAGAGTGGCACTCATGGATTGCTGGCTAGCTGTATTTATACCCGCTCTTATTTGTATGCTAAATAAGGGGTGCATTATTCACAAACTTTCTGGAAAATGGGCGGGGAGCTCCCAAAACCTATAAGGTAACTTTCAGATCATTGTGACAGCATTTGTTAACTGTCTTGGTGCTGGTGGGGGTACTTTATGTAAATGTATTATAATTAGTATACAATGAGCAATGAGGGCAGCTAGAAGTTGCTTTTGACACCAGAAAAAGCAAGCCTGGCTGATGGAGGTGTGGTACAATAAGAAGAATATTTGGGTTTTGCCCCTGGCTCCTGGCACAGAGCTCCTAAAACCCTTGGAATTTCCTGAGGATAGGAGCCCCTTTCATATCACATCTGAGTTTATGGTGGTGAGGGGACTTAGGAAGGGGTCCCTAGAAAGCCTCAGGATGGGGCTAGTCACCAAAAAGACCAGGCAATTAGGGAGTTGGAACTTTCAACCCTACCTTCTGACCTCTGGGAAGGCTGGTGGTAGAGTGGGAAATTGGGGGAGGTTGAGCTCTACAAAAACTTTGAACACCGAGGTTTGATGAGCTTCCTGGCTGGTGAAGCATCCATGTGCCAGGAGGATGGTGCACCCCAACTCCACAACAACAGAAGCTCCTGTGTTTGGGACCTTTCTGAACCTCTCTTATAGATGTAATGTTGTAGAAGCCAGAGGAAAACCTCTCCTTTGCCTTCTAAAGGTTCACTGAAAAATCAACTGGGAAAAAGTAGATGAACAAGAGAAAAGACATACACAATTTTATTTTAATGTGCATAGCACATAAGAAGGATTGCCCAAGAACCTGGAGTGGTACAGAAGCTCATATACCCTTTTTCATAGGGAGGAGGAGGTAGGATAGGTAGACAATTCTTTTGCAGGGCAGTAAATCATTAGGGCTGGCAGGAGGCAAACCCCAGAGGAAGGTGGGGGTGGAGCTGCACAGAGACAAAAGTTGTTTGATTTTGCAGATAAAGTTCCCAGGTAATTTCTTCAAGTTGCGCTCAGAAGAATTGACAAAAATTTGTCTGGGCATGGTGATGACTCCCAGTCTTCTCTTCTCCAGTGGTTGATAGTTCCTAGTTATTTAATGGAATACCAGGTTGACAAAATAATCTGTACAACAAACCCCCATGACACAAGTTTATCTCTGTAACAAACTTGCACAGGTACCCCTGAACTTAAAATAAAAGTTAAGTTAAAAAAGAAATTCTAGGAAGGGAGTTTAAGACACTGTTTCTTTTAGAAAGAAGCTCTCTTGGTCAGATAAGGAAATTCGAAAGAGAGTCCCCTGCTTACGCCTGGAGGTGGAGATGGGAAACAAGACATGGTTAGAGGAACTTTGATTCTAGGGCAGCTTTTAAAACTGCTCAGCATGTCAAAGTGCCAGTTTTTGAGGGTATCAATTTCTGAGCCCCAAAAATATCTTTTACAATAAATCTGTAAGTGTAAGGAAAGTGTGTTAACTGAAAAATCACAGAATTGTAATTTTGGAAAGGAGACTTTATTTCTTATAAAGGGTACACCCTGCAAGGTGACCATCTTGCAGGCTGGGAAATGTAGCCTGCAGCAAAGACCAGAGACAGGCACTTCAAAGGAGGGAGAGGTAAGACAGGAATTTAAGTGGAACAGGTTAGTCAAACACACATGTTCAGCAGGTTACAGGAGAAACTATGAATGTTCATGAAGGTGGTCCTTATTTGCAGAGGAAGCCTTCAGGTAGTAGGCTTTAGAGAAAATAGGTTGTAAAATATTTCTTATCAGACTTAAAGTCTGTGTTGATTTTAATGCTGGAGAGGTATAATGAGGCAGGTCCGATCCCCACTTCCCATCATGGCCTGAACCAGTCTTTCAGGTTAACATTTAAGAGTGCCCTGGCTGAGGAGGAAGTCCATTTAGATGGTTAGGGGGCCTTAGAATTTTATTTTTAGTTTACAATGTTAAGTCTCCACCCCAAAGTGAACATGGGTTGTATGTTACATACCTGTTTGTTTAATATGCATTTGTCAGGGCACCCAGCTGGTTGTTGGAGAATTGGTCAGGGTTCAGAAAAAACCCACACATCTGGTATCAAAAGTGCTCTGGGTGAGAGTGTTTGGAAAGTGTATGTTTTCCCAGAGTGGGAAGAGGAGAGAAGGAACCTCTTCCAGCCACCATGAGCAATGGCTCATTATTAGGAAGCTGAACTCCCTTTTTTAGGAGGAGTCTTGGGTGGAAGGGGGGATGGAGGGAGTGGAGAGGGATCTTCCTCACCATCTGCATCTTCTTTGTCCACTGATAGTCTTTCCATTTTGCTCCTTCCAGTTCCTGCCCCACCCCTAAAAACCCACCACGCTGACAGTACACCTAACTAGGATCCTTCTCTGCAATGGTGTTTGTTATCTCTTCCCGAGACACTATTGAAATGTTCTGAAGAAACAGTATGTTAAGGAATGGGACAGTGTGCTCAGAGAGTGGCCCCACAGAAGCAGAAACATAACGTGCACATGTGCAAAGCCTGGAGCATTTAGAAAGAGAGGGATCCAGAAATGGCTCAGAGGCCCCCAGCAAGGTCACCAGCAGGTGCTATTGTTGCTGCTGCAAGACGCTAAGAAAATAGAGGGGTGTCAAGCATGTGGAGGGAGAGGGGGCTGTAATGAACATCCTGGAAACACTTTGCTAATGTCTTCAGGCAGCTAACTTAATGAGGCAGAGCCCAGCCAGAACCTTGTCAGCTGAGCCTTTCAGAATACCCCAGGACCCTGGAACCAACCCATGAGAAAAGGAAGCAAATTCCAAGAGAGCTGGATTTATCATGTCATCATGCACATAAGCCATTATTCTAATTGGGACATGGCCACTTAAAAAGCACTATTTCTTTGAGAATCACAAGGGGGTGGGGAAGGGTGGAATGTGGGAGTCATATGTAAGTTACAAAAGCGACCATCACTTACTGGGTTCTCACTATGTATGAGGCCTTGTGCCATCCTCACTAGAATCCTGAAACTGGTGCTATTAATGACCTTATTATACAAAAGTGAAAACCGGGCTGAGAGAGAACAGGCAGGAGTTCCTTGAAAGTTACACCCTGGTGAGAGCAGATACAGAATTCAAACCTGTGAAAATAAGTAATTCAAAATCAAGCTGTTGGAATTTTAAATTATTTTGAGTCTTAAAGGAATGCGGTGATGAGACCTGAGTCACATGACAGGCAGCTATAACCCAGGCAGCTGTAGCTTTTTTCCTCTGTCATAGATTAGCCCTTTATTTGTCTACATTGTTTTGTAAAATATTGTAATAGACCAAAAGGTTCCAGAGAAGACCCCTTCCCTCTTCACTGTTGATTTTCATCATAGATCAATTATATATATATATATAAGTGGGAAAGGAAAATAAAGCAAGCTGTAACTAATTAGATTGCTGTAACTCATAAACCAACCTTCTACGGAAAACGTTTCAATCCTGTTAAATTTATTTGCTTTCTGCCTATACAAGCAAGACCTTAGCCTTTCAACTTCAGAGCTCTGACCCGTTCCTTTGGAGTCTACGTTACCTGGTGGCTAGTCTATGTTACCCGATGGCTTGCATTTGAATACTCTTTAGAACTAAATTCTGATCCTTTCAATTATTTTGGGTTTGACAAGCCCATGCTCATGGGATCCTCAATCCAGTCCTGCAATCTCTTTCCATACACTGATTCATGGCTTAGCAGATCACTCTTAATGACCTGCACAGCTGGATACTGGAATCAGGCCTTTAGAAAGAAAACAAGCCTCTTTAAGGACAACCATGGGGGAAGGATCGCATGTGAGAGGAACCAGCCCTGTTCTGAGGGAGGGCGAGCTTGCTGGAAGTGTCCACCTCGCAGGCAGGTACCTTCTACTTCTCTATTTACCCACTTTGTGTTGAATAGCCTAGACCCAAAGATAGTCAGAGAATCTAGCCCAACTTTCTTTCCCCTCTTTAGATGAAATAGCACAGGAATGGCTAATTTTTAAAAACCCTAGAAATAAAAGGCTGATTGGACCACTGTTAAGTGGCAAGTTTCACTTGAGGCACCTAGATACAATAGGTATCAGATGATAAGGTGAATTCTGAGTCCCAGTAGAAATTGCAAATTTGAAAAGTAAGAGTGAAAATCTGTTAGAGGACTGTGGTCCACATTCATAACCACATTTTATCATTATAAAAAGGTAGAAAATGGTGTTTTTAGAGATCCTCTCTCTCCTAAGGACAATGGATTTGGGTGATTTTTCTCAAGTTCTAAAGCATGGTAGGAATTTCAAAGGAACAACAGGGAGAGTGAAATGTCTCATCTACAGTTAGTGAGAAAATGGGGCCTGGAGTCCACCTCCACCTGGGAGGTGCTGAGGGTGGAACCAGGTTGGCCAGCTGCAGAAAAAGAAACAGCGTTTGCTCCTCAGCTGGGGACAGCTGGCGCCATGCAAGTTTGAGGGGTGTCAAGCACTGCAGACATGGACCAGGACAGAGGGAGCAAGTCACTGCAGGCCCAAGAGGACTGCTTAGCCCCCACAAAAGAGTTCTCCCACAGAGAAGAGGGCCGGAGAAAAGCTGAGTTTGACAAGGGAAGTGCCAGACAGGAAAAACAAAACAAAACAAAAAACCATCTGTTTCTTCCTTCACAGGAAAAAGTCAAACATTCCTCATCAAGGCCTCGGAAGAAACCAAAGAAACCAAAAAAACACCAAGGGAGAAAATGTCCACTGAAACACGTGCCTGCCTGGGTGTGAGGATATCCTATGACAGTCACTGTCGCTCAGGCAGGTGAGACCTCTTGGCCCTCCCCACCCTACCACACAACCCTGGGGCAGTGCAGAAAAAGCCCTCACAGCCCCTTTCTCACTCTAAGCTGCCAGGCTGTTGCAGGACCCAGGTGGAAGAGAGAGGGAGGAGCTACGCCTTTGACTGAATTTGGAACCTTTCATTATTACAATTTCTGAATTGAGACTGTGTCTGTAGCTAAAAATGAGACAACATGATTTTTTTAAATCCAATAATTAGCAGAGAATTTATGGGACACTCCAAGTTTTTATCCAGGAGAAGAACTTCCACCACTGAATACATTTAAAAAGACAGTGGCATACAAAGGTAAAGATGTCTCCTGGCCGGGCGCAGTAGCTCATGCCTGTAATCCCAGCACTTTGGGAGGCCGAGGCAGGTGGATCACCTGAGGTCAGGAGTTTGATACTGGCCTGGCCAACATGGTGAAACCCCATCTAACACATGGGGAAACTATCTCTTATTCAGACTCTCTGAGAGGAAGGTGCTAGGTTATTCCCATACAACAGAGAGGGAAGCTGAGACTCCATAGGTGACCATCCAAAGAAGTCAGTCACATCTTCAGGAAGCAACTGTGGAGAAAGCAACTAAAAGCAACTTGCTTTTCCACAAGGCCCAGGTGGCAACCATCAAATGTGGCACTAACCAGGGTAGGGAGGGATGGCTTTACCCAATATAGAGCAGCTGTCTGAGAGTCAGTGGATTCTGTGACCACTGCAGGTCAGCCCACTCCTCTGGTTATAGAGGAGAGCAAGCTGGGCCAATCCAACCCACCAGACTGATCCTTGAGTCCAGCCCAGCTTTCCCACAGGTCAGTAAACCAGACACTTCATGGGCCACTAAGGCCATCCATAGTTCCTCCACCCAGCCTGTGCCACTACATGGAGGTCAGAGCAGACTCCAAGGTGTGGCCGGCTCACCAGATCCTGAGCCCAGGTGTCCAGCTCTTCAACTCAGCAGAGCAGCATTTTATTTTTATTTTTTAATTTAATTTTTTGTTTTGTTTATAATTGAGACATGTTAATTGTACATGCTTATGAGGTACAGCGTGATGTTCCAATTCATGTCTACATTATATAATGATCAGATCAGGGCAGTGAGCATGTCCCTCTCAACAGAGCAACTTTCCGCAAAGCTCTCCTCTCTCCATGGCTGTGTAAACAGAAAAGCAAAGAATAGGGAGGGACAGAGGGTAGAACATTGACTTCAGACTTCCAGTCCACAGCTCTGCTCTCCAAATACCGCCAAAGTGGAAGCTAGAAATACCTCATTATTAGGAAGCTAAACTCCTTATTTTTAAATAAAAACTTATTTATTTATCTATTTATTTATTTATTTATTTATTTATTTATTTATTTATTTGAGACTGGGTATCGCTATGTCGCCCAGGCTGGACTCAAACTCTTGGCCTCAAAAGATCCTTTATTAGCTGGGACTATAGGTGTGCCTGTGCCCAGCTGGAAACTAAACTCCTTCTAAGAAAGCACCAAGCCCAAGTCAGGCTCAATGCTGCCGTTGGGTTTGCCCCTCAGGACTATGAAATCCTGAACTAGAAGTGGGCTCCCTGCAGCAACTGGGGATTTGAGGGAAGAAGAGTAGAGATTTCTAGAGTTTTCTGTGGCTTGCAGAAAGTGTGGCTGGTGGAGGGGAAGTAACAATTCTCTGGAAACCTTGAAACAGAGAATTTATGAAGTTGCTCATCAGACGGTGCTGCAGTTTAGTCTTGTAATTTATGGAAAGAGGTAGGACCAAGAATCAATTCCTTCTTTTCCCTCTCTTCCTTCCTTCCCTTCCCTTTCTTTCTTTCCTTCCTTCCTTCCTTCCTTACTTCCTCCCTCCCTCCCTCCCTCCTTCCTTCCTTTCTTCCTTCCTTCTTGTTTCTTTCTTTCTTTTCTTTCTCTTTCTTTCTTTTTCTTTCTTTCCTTCTTTCTTTCTTCTTCTTTTTCCTTCTCTCTCTCTCCTTCCCCCTTCCCTTCCCTCCCCTCCCCTGCCCTCCCTTCCCTCCCCTTCTCCTTCCTTCCTTCCCTTCTTTCTCTTTCTTTCTTTCTTTCTTTCTTTTTTTCCTTCTTTCTTTCTTTCTTTATTTCTTTTTCTTTCTTTTTCAGACAGTCTCACTCTGTCACCCAGGCTGGAGAGCAATGACATGATCATGCTCACTGCAGCCTCGAACTCCTGGGCTCAAGCAATCCTCCCACCTCAACCTCCCAAGTAGCTGGTACTAGAGACAAGCACCACCACATTTTGCTAATTTTTTGTTTTTGTAGAGACAAGGTCTCTCTATGTTCCCCAGGCTGATCTCAAAGTCCTGGCCTCAAGTGATCCCCCTGCCTTAGCCTCCCAAAGTATTGGGATTACAGGTGTGAGCCACTGTGCCATGGCTTTAAATTCAAATAATACCAAAAAGCTAATAATAAAAACCTCTGTCTCTCCCTTCCCTGCATCACTCCTGCAAGCTATTCTTGAGATCATAGAGCTTTTTCCCTTGTCTTTAACCTCTTTGTTTCTAAATAATAGGCTTACATTGCTAAATTCTAATTTGTCAATTTTAGACATTGTCTATTGACACCTACCATGAGAGCTGAGGATTTAGCAATCCTGCTCCATTCTTCTACCAGCATTCCCTACAGCTCTCCCTACATATTTATATAATGATTTTTATTCTCAATAAGCAGCATTTACATCCCTATGACTATGAAATATGATTCACTCATGAGCCAAAATGTCCATTATGATGACATCTGTCTTCTACAACAGTTTCTTTTCTTCCTAGAGTTAATATTTGCTTTGTTTTTTTATTTATTAGATTTTCTATGTTACAATGCTTACTTCCCCCACCCCAAATAATCCAAAATCAATCACATTTTTTATGTAATCAAATATAGCAGTTCCATTTTTTA
The DNA here is from genome assembly GCF_000001405.40 of Homo sapiens. NCBI lineage: Eukaryota > Metazoa > Chordata > Mammalia > Primates > Hominidae > Homo > Homo sapiens. Next base: position 229,811,338 of record NC_000001.11, on the reverse strand, counting down.
TTTCTGCTGGCAAATTACTTCCCAAAGACCTCCAACTCCAGTCTAGAGGCTGAATATTAATGCCTGAGCTGTCCCTCAGCCATTCCCTGTGTTGAATCATCTGTTACCTAGGTGCCATTTCATCTTCCCCTTCCTTGATTAATTTTCTTTTTTTGCTGAGGCATATCTGCCTAAGGAAAGTGCGTAAGAGGTGAAAAAAAAAAGTCTTCAGTTTTCTGAAAATGTCTTTCTCTTATACTTACTCTTGATTAAATAGTTTGCCTAAGGGTAGAATTCTGGTTGAAAGTCATTGTCCCTCAGAATATTGAAGACATTGTATTATTATCTTCTTTCAGTTTTGCTATTAAAAAGTTCAATGCTATTCCGAATTCAAATCCTTTTTCTCTCTCTCTCTCTCTGTCTCTCTCTCTCACACACACACACCTGCCATGCCCAGAAGTTTATAGAAATTTTCACTAACTGGGCATAGTGACATGTGCCTATAATCTCAGCTATTCAGGAGGCTGAGGCTGGAGATTGCTTGAGCCTAAGAGTTTGAGACCAGCCTGGCCAACACAGTGAGACCATATCTCAAGTAAGAAAAAGAAAGAGAAAGAGAGAGAGTCTTTACTACTGGTCAGATGAAATAATAATAATGTGACACTTTTCTAAAAATTCACTATTGCGACCACTCTGTGCCCCTTTCAATTTGAAGGCTTGTGATCCTCAACTCAACATTTCTTTCATATCCTGACTTTGATAATTTCTCTCCACCAACTTTTCTGTGCTCTCTTGCTGTAATTTTTCTTCATCAGACATTGAACTGACTCAGTGCAAGAGGACAGCTTCAAGTCCCTATGATTTCATCCCCAACCCCACCAATCAGCATTCCTTCCTCTCAACCCCCTGCCCACCAAATATCTTTTAAAAAGCCTAGCCTCTGAATTTTCAGGGAGGCTGATTCGAGTAATAATAAAATTCTGGTCTCCTGTTTAGTAGGTTCTGTGTGCATTAAACTCTTTCTCTCTTGCAATTCCTCTGTCTTGATGAATTGGCACTATTTGGGCAGTGGGCAAGAAGAACTCATTGGGTAGTTACAAGTTGAGGAGTTTCCAGCTGCAGTCTGTCTGGGCACTGACAATGGGAACCAGTTTGGCTTGTAGAAGGGTGGGTCCTGTGACATTTTTACATCTTTCTGAGAACACAGAATATGTGACCACTCCTTCACCAGTCATGGACACCTGGTTCTGTGTTAACTTTGAGCACCTCAGGTAGTCATAGGAAGTCCATTTTGTCTGTCAGCCAGGAGCATACTTTAACAAGCCAAAAAATGGTGGAAACAACTCAAATACTCCACTGATGAATGAATACATAAAATGTGGTATATTTATTCAGTGGAATTTTACTTGACAATAAAAAGGAATGAAGTGCTGATACATGCTACAACATACATGAACCTCAAAAACATTATGTACGTAAGTGAAAGAAGTCAGTTCAAAAGTCCACATATTGTATGATTCCATTTATATGAAATGTCCAGAAGAGACAAATTTATAAATCTATAGAGATAGGAAGTAGATTAGTGGTTGCCTTTGGGGCTTAGAAAACGACACCCCAAAAGTCGATGCTTTGACATGCTGAGAGACCATAGAGGCTGCCTCATAATCAAGCTGCCTCTAACCCTGTTTTGTTCTACCCCCACCCACCAAGTGCAGGGAGGGACTCTCTTTGGAATTTCCTTCTCTGACCAAGAAAGCTTCTTTCCAAAAGAAACATAATTGTCTTAAACCCCCTCCCTAGGGATCTCATCAAATAACCAGGAACTATCAACCATTGGAGAAGAGAAGAGACTGGGAGTTACCCCATGCCCAGACAAACTTTTCATCTATTCTTCTGAGGGTAACCCCAGGAGATTACCTGGGGGACTTTTTTTTGCATAATAAGACAACCTTTGTTCCTGTGCAGCTCCACATCTTTTCTTCCTATAAAGTCTGCCTCCAACATCGTGGGTCCATTCAATTCTCCCTAATGAAAGCATTGCCTACAGTCTCCATCTCCTCTCTTCCCCGTAAAGCTTCTGTGCCACACTGGGTTGGTGGGCAATCCCCCTGTGATCCACTACTCCCCTGCCCACATCCCAACCCCACCATACACGTTAATAAATGTGTGTACCTTTTCTCCTGTTATTCTGCCTTTTGTTAGAGAACCTTCAAAGGGTGAAGGGGAAGTTTTCTCTTATCCCCTACATTTCATAAGACTAGGAATGAGAGTTGAGATGGAGAATACGAAGTGACTGCAATTAGGCAGAATTTCTTCTTGAGGTGAAAAAATTGTTCTGAAGTTAGATTGTGGTGATGGTTGCACAACTCTGCAAATATACTCAAAACCATTAGATTGTACACTTTAAATGGGCAAATTGGCTGGGTACAGTGGCTCATGCCTGTAATCCCAGTACTTTGGGAGGTTGAGGAAGGAGGATCACTTGAGCCCAGCAGTTTGAGGCCAGCCTGGGCAACATAGGGAGATTCTATCTCTACAAAAATTTTAAAATTAGCCAGGCGTGGCGGCACACACCTATAGTCCCAGCTTCTGGGAAGGCTGAGACGGGAGGATCATTTGGGTTTGGGAGATTGAAGCTGCAGTGAGCCATGACTGCGCTACCAGAAGCCCAGGTGCCAGAGCAAAAACCCGTCTCAAAAAAAAGGGAGTTAGTTGTATGGTATGAAAATTATATCCCAATAAAGTTGTTTTTAAAAAGTAGTTTGCAAACTATAAAATAAAACACAAAAGTCAAATCTTTACTTATTATTAGTAAAACAGAATAAAAACATTAGGAATCATTTCAATTATTCTTAATAATTATTTATCATTCATTATTAATGATTAATTAATCATTATTTACATACAATTATTAATAATTATTATTTTACAATTATTTCTCAGCTGCTCTGAGAGGTTGCTGTTTAGAAACACAATTTCACAACAAAACCAGCTGCTCATTAGGAAGCTGCTTCAAACATTTTGGAGCTACCTAAACACGTAAACACTGTGATTGGGGTCAAGCTGATACTTTAGGATCACCTGTGTATGTAGTCCTCACACAAGGTCCTCTTGTTTGAACCAAATTTGATGTCTTCCATGGTCAAAGAAAACATTCTCTCGAATAGAACAGAGTTGCTTCACAACTCAGAAATCAAAGGCTCAACTTCCAATAAAAATGCTGTTCACAAAGCCACTTGACATTAAACTCTCAGCTCAATTTCCTGAAGAATCATCAGAGCCACAAGACGGAGAAAGTAATCACTCTTCTAGAGTCACTGCAATAATTGGCTAGAAACGTCTGCTGTTTTTAAATTGGCAAACATGAGCCCAAAAACATTCGGCAATTGAGTACCCACTTGCTGATTAGAATTTGATTATAAGCTTGAAGTGGGGTTGGGCAGAGGAAAGGAGAGGGCCCGGGTGTGGTGCCCTGAGGGGCCTCCTCCACTGCAACCTTATAGGAAATGCAGGTCAGCAAGACAAGAACATGGCCCCTTGCCTCATCCTTCTGATAACCACAGGTAACATCTGGTGCATATGCTTCCTGCAACACTGTGCGGTGTGTGTGTGTGTGTGTGTGTTGTGTGTGTGAAGTATTTATTTTACAAAAATGAAATAAGATTGTAAATACAGTTCTGTCACCTGTATTATTCACTTGGCAATATATTATGCAATCTATTAATATTTAAAATGAGTTTGGTAGTTGTCATGTATTCCATTGTATAATGTTACCTTAGGTTTACTCATCTCTTCTGGCTGGACATTTAAGATTTAAGTTTGGGTCATTTACTACAATAAACAAGTCTTCAGTGAAGCATTCTAATCTCTGTTCTGGATATATCTATGGCCTCTTCTGGCAGCTATTTTTACACTATAGGCTGAGGGGTACAAATTTTATAATTCTTAGCTGTGACAAAATTTTGTTCTGGAACCAGACATAGAAATATGAGCAGCTGATTGGTCAGGAATCTGGGCACGTGGTTTGAGAAATAGGCACCGGATAGCATTCTTTGAGAGCCAAGTATGTTTCAGATGTTTTCTAAGAGATAACATCCTAAATCCCCACATTACAGAAGAGGACACTGAGGCCAAGAGTACAGAGCAGAACTTATCTTGCTACCTCATAAAAAGAGGAAGAATGAAGTTGTGAGAGACTTGGGCAGGTGGGGATGGTTGAGGGGACTCAAGACCCAAGAACTAAGGGCCACAAGTGGCCGAGAAACATCCCCCATAGAAATGCCACCATATCCCACAGAGCACAGGCAGATTTCCTGAGGAGGTGGTGAATCCTAAGCGTCGGGCCCCTTCTGAGTGTGAAATAAAAATAAAATCTTGAGCCCTGCCAACAGAGCGAATGAACCCTGCTTGGCCAAGGATGCCCCAGAAAAAACTTGGAAAACTAAATTCCATGACAAGAAGGGAGGTCAGTGACACCTCAGTATACTTCCTTCCTTGTTAACTTATACTGGATTATTTCCTAAGAGTTAAACAGAAGCTAGCCCTGGAAAAACAAAAACAGAAGGTTTGCTCCATCGCTGACTTTAGCCAATCACCAGATGCCCCAGCCAGACTCCCGTCCCTTCTTGCAGCCTCGACATGGCAGCTCATCAGTTTCACAACACATTCTCCCTGATAAATAACCAGCGACCGTGGGCTGGTTCTGGCTGGTTTACAGAGGCTGCACACGAGATGCTTCTGTGTGCTTTGCTGCCCCTTTGATGTATAGAGCCTAACTTTAATGCATTTAAATGTTAAGTCTCCACCACAGAGTGATCATGGGGTATATGTAATATACATGTTTGCTTACCATGCATGTGTGCAACTTCCCCTCATGAATATGCATAGCTCCTCCTAAAACCTATTAAATATATATGTTTAGCCAACCCATTTGGCATAAATTCCTGTTCCATTCTTCCCTCCCTTAAAGTGCCTGCTTTCAGTCTCTGTTGGAGGTTCCACTTCTTAGCATGCAGAGTGGCCAGCCTGCAGGCCACAGTCCTGCTCTCCTCTCTAAATGTATGAATCTCACAATTTTTTTTTGACATGGAGTCTCGTTCTGTAACCCAGGCTGGAGTGCAGTGACGTGATCCTGGCTCACTGCAACCTCCATCTCCTGGGTTCAAGCGATTCTCCTGCCTCAACCTCCTGAGTCCCTGGGATTACAGGCATGCACCACCAAGCCCCACTAATTTTTGTATTTTCAGTAGAGACGAGGCTTCACCATGTTGGCCAGGCTGGTCTCAAACTCCTGACCTCAAGTGATTCACCCTCCTGGGCCTCCCAAAGTGCTGAGATTACAGGCATGAGCCACCACGCCCGGCCAAATCTCACAATTTTTTCAGTTGACACAAGGCTTCGGGATAAGCTCCTGCAATGTGTTTACATGGTTATATGCTTTGGTAAAATTTGCCAAAGTGAAATCACTTTTGTTCTTTTTCTTAAGGATGGCCCCATAAATGTATCTGCTTCATGCCCCACAAACCAGGGACTGATGATGCCAGAGGTCTGAGACAGAGCAAATGCAACTTTTCCCCTCCTCCCTCCAAGCACTTAGTTGGAGATATACAAAAAAGATTCCCAAGCTTGCTAAGTAAAGGAGTGAATGTGCAGAAAGCCAGATAAACTGAGGTGGCAGATGACACTTCATAGAGGAACTGGAGTCATATTCTTTACCCAATAGTGAGAGACCATGAGGCCCACAGGAGCTGGCAGGGCATGAAGAGGTCCTCTCAAAGAGGCAAGGTGTTCAAACCCTGCTCATCCACGTGGCAATCTTTGTACTTTAACAAAGGGCTAAAAACACCTTTGCAAAAATTATAGCAATGAGAAAATTATGACAGTGGAAGAGATCTGATCTAACCACCTCCATCTTGCCTGTAACCTCCAAACTGCACTGATCACTCCTGAGTGGACCAAACTAACTTAGGGAGAAACTTAGTTCATAGTTTAAACGATAATAGCCCTTTCCCAAAACTAAACCACATTAGTTAAACTAATGAAAGTCCACCAGGTTAGGAGAATGAGAGGGACCTGAATTCTGCTAAGATGTAGATGTAATTAAATGATAACAAGCCATAATTTTGGAGGTCACAAGATTTGCAACCTTCCTACTTCTGTAAATAACACCACTATTATGGAACCTAAGTTTGGCCTTTTGAGGTGTGTTTTCAGGCTTTTGCATTTCTGATGACCAGTGGCTCCACCTGGACCCGCAACTCTTGACTCAACCAGTCCTGTGGTCCCTACCCAGAAGTGGACTCAACACACAAGAACTGGTTTCCACACCCCTATGATTACCTCACCAACCAATCAGCAGCACCCATTCCCTAGCCCCCTGCAGGCCAAACTATCTTTGAAAACCCTTGCCTCCAAACATTCTGGAAGGATGATCTGAGTGATAATAAAACTCTGGTTTCCCATTTAGCCAGCTCTTTGTATATTAAACTCTTTCTCTGTTGCCACTCCCCTGTCTTGATAAATCAGCTTTATCTGGGCAGCTGGCAAGATGAACCCATTGGATGGTTACAGGGCTTTCACCAAACAATGCTGCTAACATTTATTTAGGTTCTGGCTTTTTATAGATTCTTTTTGTGATTCAGAACCAGATGTAAGGACAAATGACACATGCATTTAAAAAGAGCCCAAACTGCCACCACATCATATCTCCCAGAAGGACTGGGTCATTGTTCCTGCTTCTGAGTTCAATAACAAGTTATGACAGAGAAAAAGGTTGGGAGAGAAAAAAAAGTTATGTCACCAAAAGTCCAGCCTCCATGCTGTTGGGTGCTCGCAGGTAAAGTCAATTCAGGTGACCATCCCTGGGGGGGCTATTCTCCCTAGAGACACAGACATCTTGATAATATTCCTTAATTGGACATGACACAGTGGCTCTTTTAGCTTCCTGTAGCTGGAGGTTGTCATAGATTGTTTGAGAAAAGATTAAGCTGTGGTTAGGAAAGATTTCTGAGCCCAAATAAAAGTAATGATAATTGACCCTTTTGCAAACTTGGAGAGTTTATTTTTTAACCAAAAGTGCTTTCACTATATTTCAAGCCTGTTGGCTTCAATTGTAAAATTGCACCTACCTCTGACAATGACCCCTATTTCACCCCCATATTCCTGTTTGGCAAAGCAATATGGTTTAGTGTTCAAGAGCACTCTCCAAGCAAAGTTTTTCCCCTTACAGTTTTTGCAGCTTGCAGGCAGGTCTCAGTTGTAAGCACTTCTTGAATGTCACAGAGGCAAAGTGGCCCTGCCAGAAAAAAAAAAAAAAGTGTTTGTGAAAGGAGGAAGTCTGAGTCATCAGCTGCAGGTAGCTATTACCTATTGCAGCACAAGGATAATATCTTGGAGTCCAGGCAGACAAAACGAAGGCCTCATCCATCCTTGTCCTCTCATGGGACGTGGTGGCTGAACATAAGCCAGATAACTATGCACTGCATGAAGGCACAGCCTGGGAATGTCAGGGCCTTGGAGCTGAGCCACAGTCTACAGTAGGTTGTGCACCTGCTGTGGTCAGCAGAGGCAGGGCCATAGGGTCAGGCAGGCTGTGCATTGTAGCGATGGTGGTACTGAGAGGTGGCAGAGCAGGGTATCCCACCATGGGCCAAGAGAGGCATCTGGGATTCCAGGGTCAGGCAGAGCTGGTTGTTTATCCGGTGTGGTTGGCTTACAGCTGTTCTTACACATGAGGAAACTGAAGGTTCCAGAACTTGCTCCAGGTGACACAGCCAAGAAGTTGGCAGTCTAAGGGCTTCTACTATAATTGAGGCCACAAGGTAAATTTTCGTGAAGTGATGAGAGAACACTGAGGTCCACAAATGATGGGGCTAGGGGAAGGGAGAGCTGGGGCTGGAGCAGCCGTGGAAAGTTCCATCCACGAGAGTTTGAGTGAGCGGGAAAAACAGTGCCACAGATGCACCACAGCTGCAAGGGCACTGGCAGAATATGTTTGGTTTGATGTTTGGTGGCAAGAATAATAGACAGGAAGGAGAAGATTGTCAGCCTCTGTGTCTGAGTATGCTCAGGCTGCCATGACAAAGCACCACAGACCGAGAGGCTTAAACAGAAATGTATTTCCTCATGGTTCTGGAGGCTGGATGTCTGAGATCAAAATGTTGGCAGGGTTGGTTTCTCCTGAGGCCTCTCTCCTTGGCTGGCAGATGGCTGTCTTCTCCCTGTGTCCCCATGTGGTCTTCCTTCTGTGTGTGTCTGCGCCTTCATCTCCTCTTCTTATAAGGAGAGCAGTCCTTTGGATTAGGCCTCACCCTTACGACCTCATTTTAACTCAGTCACCTCTCTGAAGGCCTGTCTTCAAATACAGCCACATTCTGAGGTCCTGGGGGTTAGGATTTCAACATGTGAATTTAGGGAAGGGAGCAAGGGGGGACACACTTCAGCCCAAAACACTGACAGGGGACAAGTGAGCTCTGATAATGGCTGCCAAGTGCACAATTATGGCGGCCACCGTTGTGGTGGTTTCAAGGGCTGGAGCTCATCTCCTAATCCTTTCCTGCCAGGTTAGGAGGCATTTAAAGCTGTATCTTGTGTCCTGACCTCATGGGACTGTGTTGGGCAGCTTTGCAGAAGAAGCCTGGCCCTGGATGTAAACAACAGTGAGGTTTCATGTTCCAGCCCTTTCACACTCATCCCGACTCAGCCTTCACAGGCTCAGTTGGTGGCAGAGAAGTAACCTTGCCCTCAGTACACGGAGCATGGGCACTTCCAGCTGGACACACAGCAGACACTGTCTTCCATGAGAGCTGGTTTTCAAGGAGGTAGGAAGAAGTCCAGGCTTCCCGGGCCTCCAGCATGGTAGGTGTTTTCCCTCCAGTTTTCCCATTTGACCCCAAGCACAGCCCACAGTTAGAGATGACCCCTGTTTTTTTTTGTTTTTGTTTTGTTTTTTGTTGTTGTTGTTTGTTTTTTGTTTTTGTTTTTGTTTTTTTGAGACGGAGTCTTGCTCTTGTTTTTACAGATGGGCAAGCAAAGCTCAGTGAGGAAAATTAATGTCACAGAGCTTGCACATAACAGAGCAGAACTGTTCTGCTTTCTCTCTTTTAAAAAAAAAAAAATTTATTTCCATAGGTTATTGGGGGAACAGATGGTGTTTGGTTACCTGAGTAAGTTCTTTAGTGGTGATCTGTGAGATTTTGGTGCACCCATCACCAGAGCAGTGTACACTTTCATTAGCCCGACTATAACCCCATGTGTGCCCATTTGCCATGGAGTGAATGTTTTTGTCTACCCAAATTCCCATGCTGAATCCTAACCCCCAGTGTGATGGTGTTAGGAGCTGGCGCTGCTGAGGGTGATTAGGTCATGAGGGTAGAGCCTTCACGAATGGGGCTAGTGCCCTCATGAAGAAGCCTCAGAGAGCTCCTCCCCCTTCCACCATGTGGAGACTCAGCCAGAAGGTGCCACATATGAACCAGGAAGCAGGACCTCACCAGACACCAAATCTTCCTGTAACTTAATTTTAGACTTCCAAACTCTAGAACTGTAAGAAATAAATGTTTGTTGTTTATAAGCTACCCGGTCTATGGTATTTTGCATACAAACTAAAATGCCATTCTATTACAGCTACTTAGAGCAATTCCTCAAAAGATTTTATCGAATCTGACTTTTAGAATTTCCCCCTTCTCTTCCCCAAACACCAAGATCCACTCCCGCCCCCTGAGCTTCTCTCACCTTGCCTGCCATCCTGCACTTGACCTCGCCCCCCACCCCGTGCCCACTGTCCCTCCATCCACTCTGCCCCACCCCCCAACTCAACTCAGGCGCAGCCCCCTCATGAGGTTTCCCACACTCTGAGGGGTTTCCCCTCTTGTCCCGTGGCACCTGTTCCAGCTTCTTTGATGGCATTTATCACATTTTAATGAAACCTTTTGCTTATGACATCCTCACTACTAGACGGTTGTTTCTTAGGCTGACATGGAGTTTGGCTCCCTCTCAACCATCAGAGTATCAGCTCTCTAGCATCCAGCACATGGTCGGTGTTCACAGAGCTTCTAGAGTGAATGTTTGCACATAGGCTGCATGCCTTCCCAATTGTGGACCCCCTGCCTGATTTGACCCATAACCTTTCATGTCACCTGGCCTCGTATATGGTCTTGTAGAATTCCAAGCAATTCTCTCATAGCTCCATGCCCAGCCCACAACCCCAGACCTGCCATCTACCTTCTATCCCAGATGTGTCAGGCCATTCTTGTGTTGCTATAAAGGAATAACTGAGACTGGGTAATTTATAAAGAAAACAGGTGTAATTGGCTCATGGCTCTGCAGGCTGCACAAGCATGGTGCTGGCATCTGCCCAGCTTCTGAGGAGACTTCAGGGAGCTTTTACTCATGGCAGAAGGCAAAGTGGGAGCAGGCACATCACATGGCGAGAACAGGAGCAAGGGGCAGGGGGGGAGGTGCCACACCGTTTTAAACAACCAGATCTCACAAGAACTCACTCACTATGGCAAGGACAGCATCAAGCCAAGAGGGATCCACTGCCACAGCCCAAGGGCCTCCCAGCAGGTCCCACCTCCAGCAGTGGGGATTGCATTTCAACATGAGATTTGGAGGGGACACACATCCAAACCACATCATCAGGCTTGCCTTGATTTCACAGCCCCACTTCCCACTTTCGCCCTGTTCCTGCTGCCCCTCCAACTCCACCAGTCCAGAACTCATTGGATGGCTGGGAGAAACTGTGATTTCAGGTGTAGAAAGACGTCATGATTTGAGGCCTCCAAAGTAAACCTCCTTCCACAAGCTAAGCTCCAATAGCCACTGTATTAGAGAAACAATGAGGACTTTCCAGGTGGGCTTCCCTATCTGAGATGTCCAACAGAAAAATGCCGCACATCCAATACGTGATGCTGCGTAAGAATTCCATGGAAAGTGTTTATAATATAATGTTGTGATTAAAAAGTGGGTTACAATGAAGCATATGCAATATGATCCCATGTCCGTGCAGGCACACACACACATGTGTGCATGCCAGCACACACATACATACAATGATGGGAAAGCAACTACTAGAAAGTCTAATCACCATTACTTCTCAGTGTGGGATTTCTGTTCAGATTTAGCTTTTTAAAAACTTATCTGTGCTTCCTACATTTCCTACAGAAGACTGGTATTATTTTGCATTGAGTTGTAAAACAAACTTACTTTTTAAATCCCCAGATAAGATTATCTTAATGTATGCATTTTACAGATACTAAAATTTACTTACATGAGAAACTTGGTGTCACATTAGAACTTAAACAATCTGTCCAAACTCAATATTCCTATGACTCGACTTTAGATCTAGAAGGAGGAGGTGAAAGAAGTTAAAAGTTGACATGATTTGCATTGTTCTTCATCTGCTTTCTGATATTTCACTGGTTGCATAATGGAGAAGAGTAAAGGCGAGGTAAGTGTCTGGGCAGGTGCTGCGATAGACAATCTGGGGTGGCCCCTGCAGCTGGGGTTCGCACCGGCCCTGGGAGCCTCTTCATGGGCTCCAATGTCCAGCCATGTCGGCTCCTTGAAGTAACATTGGGCTTCCTCCCCCAGGAAAGAGAGCTGCACTGGCCTCAGCTTTCTAACTCTTCCAAGAGTCTACTCCTGGCCTTCTATCCTCCAGCCTCTTGGGGTAAGGACCTCTGCCCCGGCCAACAGCCCTCTGGCTGAGAGTATAGCAAAACAGCCTGGGCTCTGCCATGTTCTACAGTTTCCACTCAACCTGGGGGTGACAGATCCTGGCCACACTAGACTCAGCAAGCCAGCTGCCCCACAGCCATGCCCTCTCTCCTGCCATCCTTCTTTTCCAGCTCTCTTCTCCTCCACTCAAGCTGACCAACAAGCTCACTGCCTACACAAATGTCCAGCTGGCCATTCCAAGGCCTCCTGGGAGGTGGCCTTTAGCCCTGCACTTAGGAACAGGAGATGGTGCAAAGCACTGCCCTTTGGGACATGCTCATTGCTTTTACTAGGATCCCTTCAGACTTAGTTGCCCTGGGCTTGTATGCCCTTTAGGGAACACGCTGTCCTCTTCTCTTCTGACAGGAACCTCCAGCCTTGAGAAGTAACTCTGTTAAAGCCCCCTCATTTGGTTTCATGGGAAGAAGAGAATCACCTCTTAAACTGAGCACTGCACTTTCCACAGGGCACAGCCCCAGAGATCCTCTCCTGTCTGCTCTCCTCTTGGTCTTTTTCTTTGAGGTGGGGGGGTCCGTACTCTATTTTTTTTTAAATAATTTCAACTTTTATTTTAGATTGGGGGTTACGTGGGTATATTGTGTTATGCTAAGGTTTGGGGTATGACTGATCCGGTCACCCAGGTAGTTAGCATAGTTCCCAATAGGTAGTTTTGTAGCCCTTGCCTCCCTCCCACTCTCCCCTTTCTAGTAGTCCCTGGTGTCTACTGTTCCCGTCTTTATCACTACCCAGTGTTCAGCTCCCTTATGAGTAGAACATGCAGTCTTTGGTTTTCTGTTCCTGCACTAATTTACTTGGAAAAACAGCCTCCAGCTGCATCCATGTGCTGCAAAGGACATGATCGCATTCTTTTTCATGGCTGCATAGTATTCCACTGTGTATATGCAGCACATTTCCTTTATCCAGCCCACCTTTGATGGGTATGTAAGTCAATGCCCATATTGGTCTCTTCCTGTAGAAAGACAGGTGAGAAGTTGGCATGAGGGAGAGCCAGTGCTACTGCCCCTATTAAGCCCCGAGAGAGGTGCCCACCCAGGTTGTTGGCAGTCCCTGGCAGCTCTCTTGGGAATATGAGGCACTCTCAAGATTTGGCCCCTAGTTCCAGGACAAAAGGACACGGCCCAGCCCACAGTCTTGGGGAAATGGAGTGCTGCCTCTGGCAGGAAAGGCCAGGGAGGGACTGTGGGAAGACAACTGGGAGGAGGAAGTCCCTGAGTTCCCGCCCAGGGCAAGTGCAGGCAGCCATCTCCACAGAAAGGTTGGTGTCAGAGGGAAATGGAACACAAGGCTGTGGGTTTGTTTGTTTGTTTGTTTGTTTGTTTTGAGATGGAGTCTCGCTCTGTTGTCCAGGCTGGAGTGCAGTGGCGCAATCTTGGCTCACTGCAACCTCCACCTCCAGGGTTCAAGCGAGTCTCCTGCCTCAGCCTCCCGAGTAGCTGGGATTACAGGTGCCCACCACCACACCTGGCTAACTTTTGTATTTTTAGTAGAGATGGGGTTGGCCAGGCTGGTCTCGAGCTCCTGACCTCAAGTGATCCGCCTGCCTAGGCCTCCCAAATTGCTAGGATTACGGACATGGCCCACCGCGCCCGGCCCAAAGCCACGTTTTGTCTAGGGTCACACTGCAGGTGTCTCTCCGTGTCCCTCATCCTCTCTGTGTGTCTCGCCTACAGAAAGTGGCCCATCCACAGAGGCTCCATGGAGCGAGGGGAGGGTTGTCCTTCACGGATCAGGACAGGGCTGCTGAGGAAGCCGATTTCTGAGCCCAGGAACCCGCCCTCAACAGGAAAGGCAAATGGATGGTTTCAAAGCAGCAGCTCGAGCAGTCTGAGTTCTTGGCCCCTGCCCACCCCTCCAGCCCCACAGATAAGGGCAGCATCCAGAATGGCTGTAAATTGCTCTGAAAGTGCGAGGTGTGTATTAATAACCCTGCGGAGCTCTCTGGTGCTATATAAATGCTAAGTAGAACAGAAATTACTTTGGAGTGTTCTCGCACCTGAATGATCTCCCAGATATAACTGCTTTTGATCAGTCATCAACACAACTTTTAAAATAAAGCCGTCTCAGCCCTTTCAGTTCTGACCACAAGATGAAACATATCGAACCAAAGGTTAAACTCCAATTGATTAAGGTCTCTCTCCGGCTTTTTCCTCTTCTGGGTCCTCTTTATAGCAGTGAATCTAAGATTAGACACCAGGTTGCTTTTGTTGCTGTGGTTGCTGGTGCTGTTAGAACAGATATTCCCCTCCCCAGGTGAATAGACCAGAATTGGATTTTACATACATTATTTGAACTAAGGTGAACAAAATACATTTCTCACCCACTCAAGTTGCCCCTCATAATCTGAGGGACATGAAAGGTTTCAATCAGGTTTCCGGTGATCTTATTTTGATTAAATGTAAGAGTTTCATTTTCCCAGAGTTGCTTCAGGTTTTACTGTGTTTATATTGTAATTCTGTGTATTTAGAGATGGTTGTAGGCATGCATTTGACGTGGAGGGATTTCTATTTTCTTAGCCATCTTGATGTCTTGCCAAGCACTCCCACACACTTTTCATCTTTCTGTGGCCACAGGCAGAGCATGACAGGTGTCTGTATCAAACCCTCTAACCTCTAATCCTCCTAACACATCTCCCCCACCTTCATTTCCACCTTTAGGAATACTCCATCCTACATCTCATTCTCTGCATCTCATTCTCTGAGCCCTTCCTCTTATTCCGCTGTGGTTGTGTTTTGTTGCTGTTGTTGTTGTTTTAGAGACAGGGTCTTGCTCTGTTGCCCAGGCTGGAGTGTAGTGGCATGATCATAGCTCACTGCAGCCTTGAACTCCCGGCTCAAGCAATCCTCCCACCTCAGCATCCTGAGTAGCTAAGACTACAGGCGTGCAGGCGTGCGTGGAGTCACGCCTGACTCTACGAAGCCGTCTAACTCTGGGACTATGACTCCAAGGTATGCCTTATGTCTTGCTCTTCCTGCTCCTCATAAGCAGAACTGAGCCTTTTTAACATTTCTGCATTCTTACACTCATGTCGGACTCTGGGAAAAATGAGGTTTCCAGCTTATCTCTTTGTTTCCATCCATCTCTCTTTCTCTACTCTTCCCTACTTCCTATCCTGAATGGTAATATCATTAAACTGCATCAGCTTAAAAGAAGGACATTTGAAATCCCTTGGCTAATCTTGCTTGTGATTTAGTGTCTCAGGAAATTGAAGATGTACTTAGAAAAATTGCTATCAGAGGCCAAAATTTGACCAACAGAAAATAAAAAATGGATTGATGAAGTGGAAGTGGCAGGCATTTTTGGTCAAAATAGTGTCTTTATTGTTTGTATAAAATAAACGTCGAATCACTATTAAAAATCCAAACAATAAAGAAGAGAAGAAAATAACAAATTACTCAAAATCCTATCAGCGGTAACACTTGGTGACATCGCTCCAAACATCTTTCTTTGCCTACGTGTATAAAACATTTAGATGGATGGATTTAAAAATGGCTAGAAAATGCTGCTTCCAGGATGCTAGTTCTTGAAATATCCCATCATATTTAAGAAATAAGACTACAAGGCCAGGGGTGGTGGTTCATGCCTGTAATCCCAGCATTTTGGGAGGCTAAGGCGGGCGGATCACCTGAGGTCAGGAGTTCAAGACCAGCCTGGCTAACATGGTGAAACCCTGTCTCTACTAAAACTACAAAAAATTGGCTGGGCATGGTGGTGGGCACCTGTAATCCCAACTACTTGGGAGGCCAAGGCAGGAGGATCACTTGAACCTGAGAGGTGAGATTGCAGTGAGCTGAGATTGCACCACTGCACTCCAGCCTAGGTGAGAGTGAGACTCTGTTTCAGAAAAAGAAAGGAAAGGAAAGGAAGGGAAAGGAAAGGAGAGGAGAGGAAAGGAGGAAGAAAGAAAGGAAAGGAAAGGAAAGAAAGAAAGAAAGAAAGAAAGAAAGAAAGAAAGAAAGAAAGAAAGAAAGAAAGAAAGAACTACAAAAGTCATTGAAAAGTTGAAGTCATTTTTTAACTACATGTTTCAGCTTCCTTATTCTGACAATACTGATTACCTGCTCTGAAAGATGAGATATCTAGTATTCTTGAGACTTCCTTCAATACCCTCTTGTCCTGACTTCCCAATATTTTGTTCTGTGTATTATTATTACATTCAAAGGGTTCAAGATATTCATGTCCTATTGTGTGATTCTGACTCCCCAGTTGCTTAATCTTAATTCTGCAGTTAAATGAAGTCAATATTCAGTATCAGGGCTGGTTTCATAACCACAACTCAACTTTTCCATTCCTAAATTTTTTTTTTTTTTATACAAGGTCTCACTCTGTTGTCCAGGCTGGAGTGCAGGGCAGTGGCATGATCTCAGCTCACTGCAGCCTCTGCCTCCTGGGTTCAAGCAATTCTCCCACCTCAGCCTCCTGAATAGCTGGGGTTACAGGGGCATGCCACCACACCTGGTTGTTTAATTTTTTCATTTTTAGTGGAGACTAGGTTTTACCACATCAGCCAGGCTGGTCTTGAACTCCCGACCTCAGGTGATCCACCTGCCTCGGCCTCCCAAAGTGCTGGGATTACAGGAGTGAGCCACCTTACCTGGCCCCATTCTTAAATTCTTAATGTTGATTCACCTCTCAAGCAGTTGAATTTTATCACTGGGAAGTTTTTAATCAAGAAGCTTATGAGGCTTATATACTTAGACTTTTTTATGTTTGTGAATGGCCACCTGTTGTCTCTATACTTCACTGACAGCTGGGGATACTATTCTTGAGTAACTCTTTCTTTTAAAATTGAATGGGTATTGCTCCACTTCTTCTTTATGCTCTTTTAAAAAATGAGTTTATATTCCTAAGTTTGCCTATAATGCGAAATACTCATGGGGAATATGATTCTGGTCTAAGGATCATATTTTCTTCCAGACTGGATTCTTCTTCTGTATTTTGAATGCAATATAATGTTCCTTTCTTTTACTCACATGCGTGTTGAGGTGGTGGGGGAGGTTTGCAGACTTGCCACGCCATTTCTTTACATCTTGTTCATCCTTAACATGGACAGTTCTGTCCAAAGCTTCTAATATTTTGATACATTAAGAGTGACTTTTCCTTGATATACATCTCACCTTACCTTGAACCAGTTGGTTCCTTCTCCCTACCCCCACTTCACCCCCAAGAATTACCATTGTGGGTATTGCTTTCTACCCACTCTTCTGAAGTCTGAGAGTATGGGAGTTGGGGAGGGGGAGAGGTTGCCATCGGGGAAACTAGACTCTGCTTTCTCTCTTTTGAGATCTCATGAAATGCCCTGTATTAAATGCCCACTTCATCCAGCTGGAGAGATGTTCCCTTCCTTCCTTCCTTCCTTCTTTCCCTCCTTTCTTTCTTTGTTTCATTCTTTCTTTCGTCCTTTCTTCTGTTCTTTCTTCCTTTCTTTCTTTCGAGGTCAGAGTCTCACTCTGTCGCCCAGGCTGGAGTGCAGTGGCACAATCAGCTCACTGCAACCTCTGCCTCCCAAGCTCAAGCTGTCCTCCCATCTCACCTCCCGAGTAGCTGGGACCACAGACATGAGCCACCACACCTGGCTGACTTTTATACTTTTTGCAGAGATGGGGTGTCATCATGTTGTCCAGGCTGGTCTCAAACTCCCAAGTTTAAGGGATCTACCCACCTCAGCCTCCCAAAGTGCTGGGATTACAGGCATGAGCTACCATGGCCAGCTGAGATTTCCCATTTTTATGAGCTCCTGTTCATTCCTCCTACTCAGCCCAGATCTGTGGGAAATTTCTGAGCTCTGGCACTCTGACCATTTCACTTTACACTTTTAATAAGTGTAACATTTAAATGAGGATAATGCTAGGCATTTCCGACATGGACCCTAGACCTTTCAGTCTTATGTTTACACATTTCATAAACATTTACTCTATAAAAAACACTCAAGCAGGCGTGATAGAGGGTACTCTGTTTCTCTATTGCCTTCAACTCTTACCTCCTTTCCCTTTTCCCCCTTGCCTTCCCCAGCCTGTGAACCTTGACTAACCAACAAACTGCAAAGCTTTCAAAAGTCATTCGTGAAAGTACTGTTCTAACCGTTATCAGGATGAGACCGCACCACAATCCTGAGCAAGAAGTGTGAAAACCAGGACAGCCTCCACTGCAAGTTTCATAGCAGTTAAAGACAAAAGCTTTTCCTGGCCCAAATCACTAGGGCACATCTGCCTGCCTCCTCCTCACCCTATACAGCTACAGCCTTGCTTTGATTGGGAAATTACCTGGTCTTCAGAGGCTCCTTAATTGCATCAGCTAAATGAAGGCTTTGACCTCTATTTGAGTTGCCTCAATTATTTTCCTTGGGCTGGGGGCAGTGGCTCACACCTGTAATCTCAGCACTTTGAGAGGCCAAGGTGGGTGCATCACCTGAGGTCAGGAGTTCGAGACCAGCCTGGCCAACATGGTGAACCCCTATCTCTACTAAAAATATAAAAAATTAGCCGGGCATGGTGGCACGTGCCTGCAATCCCAGCTACTGGGGAGGCTGAGGCAGGAGAATCGCTTGAACCTGGGAGGCAGAGGTTGCAGT
This sequence comes from Homo sapiens, assembly GCF_000001405.40. Lineage (NCBI taxonomy): Eukaryota > Metazoa > Chordata > Mammalia > Primates > Hominidae > Homo > Homo sapiens. The sequence continues at coordinate 229,793,052 of NC_000001.11, read as the reverse complement.
GAGCCAAGATTGCACCATTGCCCTCCAGCCTGGGGGAAAGAACGAAACTCAGTATCTATCTATCTATCTATCTATCTATCTATCTATCTATCTATATAATTTTCCTTGGACAACTTCCTGGAAGGCATAATGTCAGGCCCTGAGCATGCAAACGTGGATAAGACATGCTCTAGGTGAGGAAGACAAACATCAGTGAATAAATACAATGCAGAAATATGGAGATGATTCTTTCCCTTTCTGAAAGTGTTGACAGGTGAATAAAACAAATTACCAGGAAAATGTGACATCTTCACAAAAGAATTTCCACAAGCTCACAAACCTCAAGGGGCAAGACATCAGAGGCAAGACCTGGATTGTAGCTGGGACCTGGGCCAGATGCTAGGCCAGCTTATACACTGTCTGCATCAACCATGCATCCAGGCACAGGCCTAATTTCAAATTGGGTCCCCATCAGTGCTCTTGAATTTTGTACAACCATGTTTCCTTATCACTGGAACAGGAAATATGGTTCCCATATCTGTCACACACAGAATCTTTTGAGAGATTGCTTCTCTGTGAAGTATCATTTCTTCCTAAGTCCATTCACCTGCACTGTCCTCAGAAACTATTCCCAGCAGTGTGCTCCTCTGGAAGTCACCACTTGCAGTTCCAGTGGGGTAGGCTAGGGCAGCACGTACGGCTCTACATGCTACAGGAGTTGCGTATTGAACAAAAGAATGAGACAAGGATAAATTCTTCTAAATCCCTTGAGGCATCCCAGAAGTTTATTTATGGGTTGGCTGATTTGTTTTGATGGATGGCTCTGCGCAGTTGCGGCTCACTTAATCTGACACTGCTGAGATTTGTGAAAAGGAGTGATTGGCTCATAAGAGAAACATGGCCCAATTGTGTTTGTGTTGCCATTGATCTCAATAGCCAGATGCACTGAACAGGTTTAGAGGCACAGTTGCCTTGGGCAAAGGAACAGAATTTGATTTTCCTGTGAAGCAAGAAAATAGGCAAAATTTTACTCTAACCAACTCTCAACAAGCTCATAATAGAAGGTTCTGTAATTGCTGAAAGAGGAGGCTTAGAATTCCATGGTGCAACTAATCACTACTCCTGCAGAGAAGAGATGGGAGAGCAAATGCTGCTTTTCTCTTACAGGAATAATGACTTCAGACCAATTCCTCTGGCTTTCCTTAAAAAAAATGGCAGCCATCCTGGAAGTATTCGGAAAAGCTATCCTAACTAATCTGCTAATGTTGATTGTCAGATTGACCAAAAGAAAGAAACTTAGACACATGAGTAGAATTAGGACCGGTCAGCAGTTAGAGTTCACTTGGCTTCCTTTCAAAGCCAATCAAGAGCCTTTCAAATGCCACAGAACCCCATTAATGTGAAGCTCCTTCTGTGAAAAAATGAGCCCCCACTCAGGGGAGCCCACAAACTGAAGCTTTCTGCAAATGGCTTCCTGCTGTCATTTCCTTGGGTAACTGCTTGCAAAATACTATGTATGATGCCATATGGGTGGAAGGAAAATGCATGAATTTCTTCTCTGAAGGGACATGTGTTTTGGGGAGCTCAGCACTGTCCCAAGGCTTTTACACAGCTTCTCAACACCCGAGAGATTGCTTCGGGCTTCTCGACTCGCCTTCCTAGGAGTCTTCGTCATTTAGCAGAAACCCGCTGACTAATTCAAGTAAAAGGGGAAGGGGTGTTCTTGTAAAGAAAAAGAACAGGCTTGCTGGAATACACTTAATAGAAAGACTAGAGGAATGGCCGCATTTCCTCAGCCCTATGACTACAACAACAATCTATGAGGCACTAACAACATTTTGGAGTGTGGGTCCCCCACCTATTTGTGAGGTTATACTGCATTCTGTTTTATGGCACCTTGAGATCTGGTGCCTATGGTGGGAAGAAGGGGAGAGATGTAAGGAGTTGATATGTTTAGAGTGGAAGGATAAATATCCGATCTTCAGAGGGAATTTGTGGCTTGTTTTATGTGCTTTAGGGTAGAAGAGTGATCTTCAGTGTGTTAGGAATGCTTGTTCCCTGGTGCCGTAAAGAAATAGCACTTGAACATAAATTTAATTTCCTCAGCAAGGCCATTTTTTCACTTTCTGCAGAAAGGGTACACTCGCCAGCAGTTTTGCCACTAGAGAACACCAAACAAAGGAGACAGGGTCATTTATAACCTGACACGTCCACCCTACTGCTGTGTCCAGTTTCCATTGGCTAGAACGGTTCCTCACATTCTGTGTTTGTCCTGATTGGCTGGCAACTTAGAACTTTTTAAAAGAGGCAAAGGCAGAGGAGAACAAAAGAAGGAGGAAGTAACTTGCAGAATGCTGAGAAAGGTAAAAACATCTTCAAATAAGGAAGAGGAACAGGCTATGACCTAATGCTTGCTTGGACCAGTATAAGCATGCCAGGGCAAATATTTAGGCTAAATTGTGGGAGCTAAGAACATAAAATACATTGATTTCTTTATTACAGCTAGCAGATATTTAGGAATGTTAGCACAGGTCTTTGAATAAATTTTGCTTTCTAAGAGAAGTTACTATTTATTCCTAATTAGATGAGGAGGGAAGTCTTTGAAGAGGAACCTCTACTTTACTTTTTACAAGTGGGCTCCAACTTGGAAATCTATCTGGTATGCTCAGACGCAGGTATCATTAAAGAGTGCATTCTTCTAGGCCTCTCTTGGTTTTTCTTGTTTTCTCTCTACATCTCTACATCTCCACTGTCATGAGATATTTATTGAGGGCCTACTGCTTGCTCAGTTTCGTGTAAGATACCAAAATTAAGAGGATAATACAAGTTAATATGAGAGTGAATTATCAACTTTGGTGTTCAAATTTAAGTGCTACGGAATATCAGAAAAGGAAAATAGCACCAGAAATCTGGCTAGAGAAATCTGATCACATGACAGTGTGAAGACTGGAGATGGGCACCTGCTTCTTGAGCACTTCGCGTGTGCCATGGAAGGGGGACTCTGCCAGGTGCCAGATCATTGTTATTTATTTAAATGCATACAACAGCATTTTTTTCTTCAACTTTGTTTTAATTTCTGGGGTACAAGAACAGGATGTGCAGGTTTGTTACACAGGTAAACATGTGCCATGGTGGTTTGCTGCACAGATCAACCCATCACCCAGGTATTAAGCCCTGAATCCATTAGCTAATCTTCCTGATGCTCTCCCTCCTCCTGCCCTGCAAACAGGCCCCAGCATGTGTTATTTCCCTCCATGTGTCCATGTGTTCTCATCATTCAGCTCTCACTTTTAAGTGAGAACACGCGGTGTTTGTTTTCTGTTCCTATGTTAGTTTTCTGAGGATAACGGCTTCCAGCTCCATCCATGTCCCCGCAAAGGACATGATCTCATTCCCTTTTATGGCTACATAGTATTCCATGGTGTATATATACCACATTTTCTTTATCCAGTCTATCACTGATGGGCATTTGGGTTGATTCCATGTCTTTGCTGTTGTGAACAGTGCTGCAGTGAACATAAGCATGCATATATCTTTAAAATAGAATGGTTTACATTTCTTTGAGTATATACCCAGTAATGGGATTGCTGGATCAGATGATATTTCCTATTTCCGCCTCTAGGTATTTGAGGAATCACCACACTGTCTTCCACAATGGTTGAACTAATTTACACTCCCATCAACAGTGTAAAAGTGTTCCTTTTTCTCCGCAACCTTGCCAGCATCTGTTATCTCTTCACTTTTTAATAATTGCCATTCTGACTGGTGTGAGATGGTATCTCGTGGTTTTGATTTGCATTTCTCTAATGATCAGTGATGTTGAGCTTTTTTTCATATGTTTGTTGGCCACATGAATATCTTCTTGCAAGAAGTGTCTGTTCATGCCCTTTGCCCACTTTTTAATGGGATTGTTTGTTTTTTTCTTGTAAATTTGTTTAAGTTCCTTGTAGACTCTGGATATTAGACCTTTGTCAGATGAATAGATTGCAAGAATTTTCTCCCACTCTGTAGGTTGTCTGTTTACTCTGTTGATAGTTTCTTTTGCTGTACAGAAGCTCTTTAGTTTAATTGGATCCCATTTGTCAATTTTTGCTTTTGTTGCTATTGCTTTTGGTGTTTTCATCATGAAATCTTTGCCTATGCCTATGTCCTGAATGGTATTGCCTAGATTTTCTTCTAGGGTTTTTATAGTTTTGGGTTTTACATTTAAGTCTTTAATCTATCTTGAGTCAATTTTTGTATAAGGTGTAAGGAAGGGGTCCAGTTTCAATTTTCTGCATATGGCCAGCCAGTTCTCCCAGCACCATTTATTAAATAAATAACACTTTTCCCATTGCTTATTTTGTCAGGTTTGTCAGAGATCAGATGGTTGTAGGCATGTGGTCTTATTTCTGAGCTCTCTATTCCATTCCATACAACCACAGTTTTTTTCAGAGATGAGGCCTCGCTCTGTTGCCCAGGCTGGAGTGCAGTGGCTCGATCTTAGTTCACTGCAGCCTCTAACTCTTGGGCTCAAGTGACCTTCCCACCTCAGCCTCCTGAGTAACTGAAACGACAGGCATGAGCCACAACACCTGGCCTCACAACAGCATTTTGAAGTGAGTAGATAAATGAATATTGAGGCTCCTAGAGGTTAATCAACTTTCCCACAACAAATTTTGCCTGGGTAAGACAGAAAAAGGTAATCATTCCTAATGGGGAAAACTGAACACTGCAACTACACACGCATACACATGCACGCACACACACACACAAACTACACACACATACACATGCACACACACCCACACACAACTACACATGCATACACATGCACACACACACACAGACACACACACAACTACACACACATACACAGGCACGCACACACAGACACACACAACTACACATGCATACACAGGCATGCACACACAGACACACCCAACTACACACACATACACAGGCACGCATACACAGACACACACAACTACACACGCATACACAGGCATGCACACACAGACACACACACACAACTCCACATGCATACACAGGCATGCACACACAGACACACATGCACAACTACACACGCATACACAGGCACGCACACACACAACTACACACGCATACACAGGCATGCACACACAGACACACACACACAACTACACATGCATACACATGCACACACACAACTACACACACATACACATGCACACCACACACATACATATACACCCCACACACGTCACACACACATGCACACATCAACACTTACATACACACACCACACCTGCACTCAGAAATGCAGGTATTTAGCCTAGCAAGCTAGGACATTGTTTGGATCTCAGTGGGACTTAGTTAGAATGTTATATTCTGTTGGAAAGAATCAGAGAAAAGAAGCCAGAGTTAATCTCCAGAGAGTTAAGCCACCTGGGAATGCCAAGGTATACAGTTGAAGATCAGGGTCAGTTAATAAGGCCAATGGGTGAAAAACAGGAAGGGGGACATGACAGAGCAGGAGCATCGCCATCTTGGACAAACACTGCATTTTAAGTTCCTGTTGATTAAAAACCTCCTAAATCCAGCCCAAAAATATCAGCCTTATGGCTAATGTCAGCATGACCATAACCACAAGTGATATCTCTGACCAGAAACATTCCAACTCTGAGATAATCTCCCCTCTGACTAGAAACTTGCCAGCCCCAAGATTACCTTCCCTCCAACCAGAGACATTCCAATCCCACAATAAAACTCTCCTCCACACAGAACCATTCCAAGCCCATTATAAGCTCTCTCTCCCTAAGCCCTTAAATACCCTTAGTCTGTAAGGGAGAATGCTTCTGACCGAAATCGGCCAGAAGCCCCTCTCAGGTTTATTCTCCAGAATAAACCTGTCTTTGACTGTTGAGCTGCTTTTTGTGTTTCTTTCTTCTTTCTTTAACTCTTATAGGACAGAAACTGTAAATAAGCCAAAGAGGGGCCAGAGAAAACCAGAGTGAAACAAGAATAAAATTGTGGTGATGCTCTTCAAATAAGCCTAAAAGGGACAGTTGTTTACCATGATTGATCACTGGGGTGTAGTCTGCTTGTCTTGGACTTGAAGGTAGACAGCTGGAGTGGACCCAACAGGAACAAAGACATGGAAGCCAAGCTGGGCCTGACAGTGGACAGAATGGCCCAACTGAGGCAAGGTGCATGGCCACAGAGCATGTTGAATAAAAAGTTGAAGGCAAGGCCAGATGAGAAGGAGACTTGAATGCCAAGAATTTGGATTCAAAGCCACAGCTATAGGAAGCCAGCAAAGAGAAATATGTTTTTGAATTCTCAGCTTTAAATAATTCATCCCGGACCTATATTTTTAAGACATAACCCCTAAATGTGAAAGTGTTGCTAGTACTTCCAGAATTAAGTTAGCTTTGCAATTCAATCACTGAATGTGAAAGAGACCATTTCTGGGCATCAAAACCCAGTTTCCCCATGACTTGCACCTCCGGGTATTAAACAGAGGTAGATGACGTTTTGTATTCAGATGAGACTTCTGCAGCTAATCTCCTGTCACTCTAAAAGTAATTTACTTTCAAGTGGATAAAACTACATATGTTTTTGGATAAGAATTTAAACTGTCAAATTCTCTTCTTATGTAATCATTCAAACACTGCTCATTTCTAATTCCAGGATGTGGTCCCTACTTTAATGATTATATTTCACAGGTTTCCTCAACATCCTGCCCCATTGTCCACATAAATATACTCAACACAGGGTTATAGAAAATACTTAAATGATACTCTATCCAGGTCCTGGGGTACAAATTCTTGAAAAACAGGAACTACATCTCTGGCCCAATCAACTGATGTTGCTGAGAATTCAAGGCTATCTTTTTTATGGCGAGTCAAAAATCTATCCTAGATGTCCTTGTGAGGTATTCAATGGTATTGATAGTCATGCCTTTGATGGGGAGATTTTGGAAATGCATGCACTCTTTGAAAACTATCCATGTAGGCTTACTCAGAAGAGAAATACTTCTTTGCTTGTTTTTCCCCAAAAAGAGAACTATGAAAGTTTAGGCTTCATGATTAGAGCAGGCTCAGCTTGCTATTAAACAAACCAATAACAAAAGGCTTTGTGGCACTGCTTTTCTTGAGTGACTTTCTCCCTAGATCAAGTTCTGTTTTATATTCCAAAGCATTTCTTAAACAGTAGGCTTTTCACAAATCCCCCGTTTTCTCACCACGTCCCTTTGTATTAATTCTATTCAATCAGCTTTTTGCCCAGGACTCAACTGAGTCTGCTCCTATGAAACTCACTGTGACCTGTACTCACCACGTCCAGTGGGGTGTGCCACAGCCTCCTCCCTGACCTCCATCAGCATTGACTACTGCTCACGGCCTTCTCCTTCCTGAAGCTCTCTCCTCTCTTAGCTCCCTGCAGCTCCTGTCCCCAAGGGCTCTCCTTGATCTTCTAGAGCCCACCATCTATGATACTTCACTGACCTCCTTTCTTCTCCTGTCCCCATAATAAAGTTGTTGTCCCAAGGTTATCTCCTTGTCCTCCTTTCCTTAGTGTCCCAATATAAGTCTTTGAGTGATTTAATGTGGGCCCCTGCCTACAGTTACTTCCTTCCATGAGGATATCTCCCAAATCAATATAATTCAGTGTCCTCATTCTCTGTAGCTTCCTATTTCCTAACTGCCTGGCACATGTCTCAACCTAGATTGTCTTTGGAACCTCAAACTTATGACATTCAGCTTGATCCTGGCTGAAAGATGGGCTGGGAGCTTGCCTTCGGAAGAAGGCAGCAAGGACCGTTCTGTAGCAACCATGGAATGAAGGCTGGGAAAACTGACCAGGCCAGCATGGGCAGGTCCTCCTCCTCAGGGAAAGGCAGGTAATCCCAACTAAGTCAAAGCTGGCATAGAAAATTCAAGTCTGATGCACACTGGGATTCACAGTCCAGGAAGTTCTGATATAGCAGATCAATATTTGGTTCATCCACTTCATAAACCAGGCAGAATCATTTGAGATGAGGTGAAGGGTGCCAGGAGCAAAGTCCAGCTCAGAAGGCAAAGGGACTGGCAGGAACTCCACAAGAGGGCACAACAGAGAGCCAGGGCAGAAGAGCCTGGCTCTTAGGTATGCAGCGGGTGTGTTTAAAGAGGCTGAAGGTCTGCATTTGCCCAAGGGCCTGGCACACAGACCCTGGAAGGACTGCAGCTCAATCCTGCATACCACTAGAAAGGAGTGGGCTTCAAATGGACATCACTCCAGGTGCTGTCTTTTGAATGTTCCCTCCCTCCAAAGCTCATGTTGAAATTTAATCCTTAATATGACAGTACTGAGAGGTGGGACTTTTAAGAAGTTATTGGGTCGTGAGGTCCTCCCCAAATAAATGGATGCATCTATCCACAGATTAATAGATTAATGGGTTAATGGATTTATGGGTTATCACAGGAGTGTGACTAGTGGCTTTATCAGAAGAAGAAAAAAGATATGAGCTACTATGCTCAGCCTCCTCACCATGTGACCCTCTATACTGCCTTGGGACTCTGCAGAGAGTCCTCACCAGCAAGAAAACCCCCACCAGATGTAGTTCCTCAACTTTCTACTTCTCAACCTCCATAAATATAAGAAATAAATCCCTTTTCTTTATAAATTACCTAGCTTCATGGATTCTGTTATAAGCAATAGAAAACAGACTAAGACACATGGTCTGACTCTCATTTCTCCAGAGCCCGGGAAGAATTAAGCTTCAGAGAGCAGACATTGTTTGGGCAGCTGGGATTGGCGAAGTCTGGCAGAACTTTCCCTCCTAAAATGGAACTCATTTTGAGAATCATCCCTAGATCAGCCTGCTTCCAGATTTTCTTTTCTCCAGTGAAGACTTGGAATCAGCTTTGTCTCCAAAGTCATACCTGCCCTGCCATCAGTTGTCAAGTCCAGTTGGTTGCTAATCTGTCTACTCCACTTGCTTTCAAAGAGGACTTGAAGTAACTTGCAAAGATGCATACGTTAAAACAAGACTTAAAAACAGTTAGGTGAGGACAAGGGGAGAGAAAACAAGGACAAGAAAAATAAGATAAAGCCAGGGATATGACACAAACAAATCTACGTCACGATGCCCCTTGTTAAGGAGGAGCTCCAAGCTTGGTTTTGAGATGCTGAGCAGCCAACACAAAGAGGGAGGCATGCTCAGTGGCACTGGTCACAATGTTTCGAAGATACGAATCGCTGCTCAAAGAGAAGCACAGTTATTCCCGCTGCCAGAACTGAAATGAACATATGCATGTGAAGTTTCAGACAGAGCTTACGATGACATGGGGAAAATCCAAAGTATCATGTGGCTGCTTCTCACAATGCCCTCAGAGTAGGTGAGTGACCTAAGACAGAGGGGTGTTTGGTAAAAGTCCTCCTGTAGATTTGTTCTTGAAGTAGTCACTCACCTTCATCACTACTTTCCATGGCTGCTGCTCCTGACTTTCTTCCCTAGACTACCCCACGGCCTCCCTTACTCTGTCCCACACCAGCACTGGATCAGCCCCTGACTCACAGCACACTGCTCATCCTCTGTCTTCAGAAACCTGGCCCCGGGAGGCATGCCCTCCACCCTCATCCCTCTAGAGGGCCCAGCGCCCCCACCTGTCCCGTCTCTACCCCGCTACATGGATGTCTCACGTCTCTTCCCCCAAAACATCACATACTCTCTGCGATGGCTAATTTCATTTTATCTTATTTTTTAAGAGACAGGGCCTCACTCTGTCACCCAACTGGCTGCTACAGCTATGATTGCAGTGGTGCGATCATAGCTCATTGCAGCTTCAAACTCCTGTGCTCAAGCAATCCTCTCACCTCAGCCTCTCAAGTAGCTAGGACAACGGGCACGCATAACTGCACCTGGCTAATTTTTTTTCACCTTTTTTGAGGGGTCTCTCCACGTTGCTCAGGTTAGTCTTGAACACTGGATCATACTTGAATTTTCTATGCCAGCTTTGACTTGGTTTGGATTACCTGCTCCTCTCTGAGGAGGAGGACCTGCCCACGCTGGCCCAGTCAGTTTTCCCAGCCTTCATTCCATGGTTGGTGTAGAAGGGTCCTTGCTGCCTTCTTCCAAAGGCAAGCTCCCAGCTCATCTTTCAGCCAGGGACCAAGTTGAATGTCATAGGGTCTCCCTATGCTGCCCAGATTGCTCTTGAACTCCTGGCCTCAAGCAATCCTCCTGCCTTAGCCTCTTGAGTCTCTGGGATTACAGGCATGAGCCACTGCACCTAGCTGTGATGGCTAATTTCATATGCCGACTTGGCTAGGCTGTGGTGCCCAGTTGTTTGGACAAACATTATTCTAGATCTTGCTGTGAAGGTATCTTTTAGATGAGATAACATTTAAATCAGTGGATTTTGAGTAAAGCAGATTATCCTCCATAATGTGGGTGGGCCTCACCCAGTCAGTTGAAGGCCTTAAGAAAACCACAGACCTCTCCCAAGGGGAGGGAATTCTGCCAGCTGATGACCTTCAGACTCAAGCAAAAACTCTTCTTTTGGTCTCTAGCCTCTGGCTAGCTCTGGAAATTTGGAACTTGCCAGCCCCCATTATCTCATGATCCAATTCCTTAAAACCAATCTCACCCACCCACCCTGGCATGCACACTACCTATTGTTGTTGCTGTTTCTTTAGGGAACCCCGACTGATTTACTCTCCAGGTTCCTTCTTTCTTGGATGCCCTCTTCCCGCCACTCCTGTTTGTCAAACTCTGATCCATGCCATAAGGGACAGCCCAGTCATCTCTCTGTGGGGCACCTCCTCATTGCTTGCAATCTGGAGTGGGATCTGCCCCCTTCCCGTCTCTGAGCAGCGCTCATACCCTGCCTGTGTGGAGTTACTGGCTCCTGACTTAGCACACATCCTTACAGCATAAGCCTCTCAGGGCAGATTCTTGACCTAGAGTCAGGCACCCAATAAATATCTAAAGACACTCAGGGAATCCTCACAGCAAGAGTCACTCCGAAATGTACCTTCCCAGAACACCCACCAACTAGATCAGCTGCCAAGTCTCCATTTTGTAAAAGAAATTCAGAGCAAGACAGGCTTATGTGCATAGAGGGATTTAGTCATAAGAACAAATAAAGGGTCCAGAAGTTTCTGATGGCTTTTTCTTTAGCACTGAGTCACTAAATATGGGGGGCAAACTAGGATTTCTTTTTTCATGAATGAGTAAAAACCCATGTGGCAAGACAAAGAAAAGCCTGGACAACAGGCAGCTAAACATTCTCATGGGCAGCCAAGTCAAGGTCCCGGTGGAGTAATTCAACTTTCTCTGTGTGCAGCCACCTGTTGCTGTGACCGCCCAGGTAGGACATCAGGAGCCACCTGGTGGCTTGTCCGGCCATGCAAACCACATGCCAGTGTGCCTGCTGGAGGAAGGGGAGCCAAGGCAACACTCAGCACACAGAAATCCCGCCTGGCAGCAAGGCTGAGGCCCCAGGGGCTGCCAGATGGAGCCTGCCGGATTCCACGCAGCTGCAAGCTCGGTTTAAGAGCTCCTCTTGAAGCAATGATTCTGGCACCTTGCAGAGTGCATGGCCTGCCACCAAAGACATCAAATTAATAATTCATACTTAGCATTTAGGTACCACTGTCATGCTGGCCAAGTCATTAGTACATGCATTTTCTATTTCTGCCAGGGATTGCTTCCCAGAGACATTATTGCCGTGTTGCTGATAATAAAGCCAGCGCTGATGAGAACTGGCAAGGTGGAATTCACCTCAAGTTAGGGGAAGAGCAGGGCTCCAGAGTTTAGCCTCCAAAGATACACAAACATGGTGACCATCGATGAGCAGGGGAGGACAGGAAGGCCTGGCAGTCCCAGTCCCAGAGCCCACAATCCAGCATCTGTGGACTATTCATGTAGCCTAGCAAGGCCTCGGCTTCTCATCTGAAGATGAAGGGAGCGGGCCATGTAATCTCCAGTTTCCTTTCAGGTTGAACATCCTGCATCACGGGCTCATGGACGGTTCAGGCAGAGTCTTAAGGGGCTGTTTTCCATTCCTACCTCCTCTCTTGATGACAAACCTCTACAGTGGGACCGTCACTTCCTTCATGGAACATGTGTACCATATCTAGGCAAGCAGGGCCCTGGAGAAGGAGCATGTAGAATTCTCTTACAGACAGGTGCTTCTGCATCCTTTAATGTGCTATAAACTTACAAATCTTGGTAATAAACAAAAGTGAAACAAAAGCCTTTGGATGCTGGTCTAGTGGGTGGAATTCTAGTTTTTAAAATTCATTTCCTTATTTTCATTTATTTTAGAGCTGAGATCTAACTGTGCTACCCAGCCTGGAGTCCAGTGGCTTTTCACAGGTGCAAGCATGGCACACTACAGCCTCCTGGACTCAAGAGATCCTCCGAACTCAGCCTCCTGAGTAGCTTGGACTCCAGGCATACACCACTGCTCCCAGAAGATTCTGTTAATCCTTCATCCGGGTCACCGCTATCTGACCCAGCCCCCTGCTGCTGCCGTGCACAGACAGCACATTCACTGCTGGAGGCTACTGTAAGAGGTTTGTCTGAATGGCGTTAAGTTCTTTGCAGAGGGATCATCTGCACTCCCTGCCTGCCACCCAGTGCTCTGCACTCGCAGCCTGGAGGCTCCCACCACTCCCCAGTTTTTGGATAGAAACATTGAATGGCCCCTCTCCAGAAGGAAAAGCTTAAGCAATGTGTGCGAATACTCCCAGGAGCTCCAGCCTGTTGGGAGAAGTCTGAAGTCCACGACTGCCTTAGTTCCCTTGGGCTGCTATAACAAAATACTGTGGACTGGGTGGCTTGTAAACAACAGAAGTTTATTTCTCACAGTTCTGGAGGCTGGGAAGTCCAAGATCAAGGCACCTGCAGATTCAGTGTCTGGTGAGGGCTTTCTTCCTGGTGTATTGATAGCACCTTCTTGGGTCTCTTTTATGAAGGCACTAATCCTACTCATTAGGCTCTACCTTGATGACCTAATCACCTCCCAGAGGCCCCAACTCCTAATACCATCACTGTGGGGATAAGGATTTCAACATATGAGTTTGGGGGCAGTTTCAAACATTCAGACCACAGCACCCACACACATCTTTCCCATCTGCTGATGGGGAAGTGTGTGACAGTTCCTAGTCAACATGCATTCTCCCCTACAAAATCCTTGCATCATTGGAGGTGGCAAGGTGCCTGCTATAAAGCGTGTCTTCGCCAGGACTCCTTCATACCAGGTGCAGCCATGGGACTAAGTTTTAGGAAATTAGACATGGAAGTGTGTTGGGAAGGACTTCTGGAGGGGGCTCCTTAGAAGTGGGGACAGACTGATGAGGAGAGCTATTTTGCCCCACCACTTCACCTTCTCCTTGGAATGCAGATGAAATGGCTGGAAGTCCAGCAGGCAACCTGGGCCATCATGTTACCTTAAGAAGGGATGCCCCACACTGAGATGGTGGAGCCAAAGGTGGAAGGCACCTGATGTCCAGGTAAGACCTGCCACGCTAGCCTGGCTCTGTCTACCCCCTGAAAAAGAAACTGCCCTATTTGTGTAAATTCACTGTTCATTTAGTTTTCACTTAACTGTAGCCAAATTGGGTCCTAACTGATATGCAACCCCATACAATAATCACCGTTTTGGAGATGTGAATGTGAGTCGATCTGCCGCTCTCACTGACCAAACGGCAGTGGGACCCTAACACCTCCCACCAGGCATGCAGCTCTGCCCCTGGGGTGTCCATCGGTGCATCCGGAGCAGAGCCTGCTCCACACAGTTCGACTCCATCCCCTCCTCCTCGTTCACAGTTGAGCAGACACTGAGCTAGGTGGGTGTCAGGCTTCTGGGTTTTTTGTACTGTTTTGTTTTTTTTTCACCAGGAGGGATGAAGGCAACTCTGTCAGCCCCAGCAGTGGAGGCAACAAAAAAATGGCTTGGGAGTTGGAGCCAGATATAAAAGCTGCAGACACGGGCCCAACAGTCAGAGGGGTGGCAAACAACAGATGAAATGGATCAGGGAAGAACAGAGGCCCTGGAAGGAAAACACACTTCAAACACCAAGAGGTGGGAGAGTGTTACTATGGCAATGCAGGGCTTGGGGCTGGAGCGGCAGAGGGGCTGCTGAGAGCCAGTGATGAAAACAAAACACAAAGGGAGGAGATGCCCAATCTGGAGCTCTGCCAGAGCAGGGTGGGCACCAACTCTCTCTCCTCATCCCTGGCTTGCCGGCCGCTCCAGCCCCTCCAACTCCCAACGATAGAATGCAACTCTCAAAGCCACAGCAGAGCACAGAACAGCCCTGACCTGGCCTCCCCAGCCCTTTCAGCAAGTACAGCCCTGGCTTTCATTTATCTGGGAAGGAAAATCGTGCTCTCCTGCCTGCCTCTAGGACTTAGCTTCTTCCGAGCCCACCATTTGGAATTGTGTTTCCCTCCTCTGCTGCAGCATTGAGAAGAGACATTATCTTCTTCCTTCCTTCTTTTTTACTTCTTTTTATTATTATTAATTTTTAATTTTGAGACAAGGTCTCATTATGTTGCCCAGGCTGGCCTCAAACTCCTGGGCTCAAACAATCCTCCCGCCTCGGCCTCCCAAGTAGCTGGGATTAACAGGCGCACACCACACCCAGCTCCCTTTCTTCCTTGTTATCTTTCCATTTTTATTTTGTGCTAGAGCCCCAAATTACGGAAGATTATGTGACAGCAGTGAGAACGTATCACATCAAACTCAGATATGCAGGAAAAAAACTGGCACTCTTAATTTTCTCTAACTGCTTTGAATTTGCTCTGACACCCATATTCCTGTTCAGAATTGGGATTGCTGAGGGGCAAAGATAGAGAGAAGAGGACATAAATCCACCAAATAAAGGAAGCTCAACCTGGTGTCGTCTCAAGCCATCTTTCTTAGGGTAACCCCATTTCTTTGAGGTAAATACCCCACCTTTAGAGTTTCTTGCTCCTGCTGGCCAGTGACATCTGGGAGTCTGTTGGGGTCAGTGGATGCATCTGCAGGGTGCTGAGGACCCCTGGGCCCACAGGCCTGCCGTGTGTGTTTCCTGGGCCCTCCAGGCCTCCTCAGGAGCCTTCTTGGGCTCTACCACCAGACACTCCCCTGGTACTTGCTACTCTGGTCTCCCATGGGGAGGCGGTGGTCAGCCCCTCTCAGAGTCTGCACCTGGTGGGCCTTTCTCGTTGACCTAGCCCTATTTCTGCCACCTCTAAATATCAGGTGTACAGTCTAGCTAGCCCTGGCTTAGGCCATCACCCCACAATCTCTGCTATGGGGTCCCCCATGCCTTGCCATGGCAGCTCTTGGGCAGGCCCCTCAGCTGGCACTGCCTTAACACATGAACGATTTATTTGCTGCCAAGACTGCCCCATGTTGCCGTAGGGCACATTCTCTGAAATGGAGTCTGCCCGGTGTCCCATAGAAAAGACAGAGGAAAAGGCCCTCTTCCTGTTGCTTCCCCTTCGGGCCTGTCTAGGATAGCTACCTTAAACCTTGCATTAGTTTATTTTGCACTGCTATAAAGGAATACCTGAAACTGAGTAATTTATAAAGAGGTTTATTTGGTGTCTGATTCTGCAGGCTGTACAGGAAGCATGGTGCTGGCATCTGCTTCTGGGGAGGGTTTCAAGGAGCTTCCAATCATGACGGAAGAGGAAGAGGAGTAGGCATCACATGGCGAGAGAGAAGGAAAAAGAGGAGGAGTTGCCAGGCTCTTTTTAACAATCAGGTCTTGTGTAAACTGATAGAGCAAGAATTCATTCATTACCGCAGGGATGGCACCAAGCCATTTATCCAGGGATCTGCCCCATGACCCAAACACCTCCCTCCAGGCTCCATCTCCAGTATGGGGGATTACATTTTGACATGAGATTTGGAGAGAACAAATATCCAAACTATACCATACCATAGGCTCCCTTGGCTGCTTACCTCAATAAAAAGAGTCAGGATCCTCACACTTGACTGATTACTATCCCTTCTTTCCAAACCGAAAGGACTTCCCCTTCCCCTTACTCTCTGGTGAGACTGGGGATTTACTCTCCATCATGGCTTCCTTAGGAACTTCAGTGGTGCAGGTGGTACCAACCCCCTCATTCCTTAGAGAATTCCTTATAGTTTAGTCTAGATGGTGGAATGAGTGTGGTGAAGGAAACCATGTATACATCACAAAGCATTTTGAAAATATTGTACTCTATACAATTATTATTAGTTTTCTTTGAAATAATATTGAATTGCAACTATAACACATAGAAATAAAAGGATATATTAATTAGAAATCTTATCATCAATATTATTAATCACTTGAATGCTTTTATAAATGAGAAGGTCCATAAACAATTTCTCTGTAGATATATTTATATACCTATACATTTTTTATAAGACCAAAATCCTGTCTTCCTAAATGAGATGACTGGGCATATCAGTCAGGAAATCATTTTCTTATAACGGAAACAATTAAAAGGGCTTCAAAAACAGGTGTTGATTGTTCTCACATATCATGGAGTCTGAGTCTAGGCAGTCCAGAATTGGAGAGCTGCTCAATCATGCTGTCAGGGACCAAAAGTCATTCCTGCCTCACCATTCCCAGCATGATGGCATTCAGCCTGAACATTTGTTGCCTTCTAGCACAAAATGGCTGCAGCCCCTCCAGATCTCACTTCCATGTTTCAGACATAAATATGAAGGAAGAAGAGAAGAAAAAGGAGGGGACATCTGAGTCAAGGAAGCAAAATTTTCCCGGAAACCTCCATTTATGTGCTATTGGACGGAACTGTACTGCATGGCTCATCCTAACTACAAGGGATTCTGAGAAAGCCAGTATTTGCAGCCTGACACATTGGTGCCCCAAACATAACTGGGGCTCTGTAGTTTAATAAAGGGGATGGTGTCAGAATGGGAATGGCTATTGGGTAGGACACTAACATGTCTACCAGTCTGGGGGATTAGAACAAGACATTTCATCTGTTTGAGCCTCAGTTTCTTCAGTTATAAAATAAGTATGGATTAGACATATAAATTCTAAGATTTTTCATCCAAGAGTCCTAATAGTAGACAATAAGCCAACTCCTTTCCTTATTCTAAGATAAAACCAACAGAGCCCCACAAAATTTCACGAAAGTCTCATATTTAATCGTGAAAACTCATTCATTTTTCATTCTAGGTCGTAGTATGTTTGGTTTCGTATAAAAATATGTATATTTTAATCTGCAAGTTAAAATTGCAACATTTGTCATGTAACTTTGCGCACACACTCTCCTCAGAGCACATGCACTTCAATCTGAGAAACTCTTAAATTCTTAAAGCGATGCTAGGGCACGACAGGATTTTCCAGTCTCCACGCAGAAGAACTTGCCTTGAGGTCACTGGGGAGGTCAGTGGGAGATGGGAGAGGACCATTGGCTGGTCCTGCTGAGGGCTAGACTAGGGCTTCCTTTTCAAAACTAGACCAGTTGGTGTCTGTGGACATGCCAGATATACTGCAGCTGTCTCCTGCATCCTAGAACTCAGATTTCTGCCGTATAACCACTCATCATTTTGGCGATTGCTCTGTAGGCTGGGGACTTCATGATTTAACATTGCAAACACTGGTGGCCCTGTTCACAGGATGATGTAGGAGAGCCCAGGGTCACGAGTTCCTTCCCAAGCTCCACAGGCAATACCTGAGAAAGAGACTTTCTCGGTGTCCTTGACCAGTGTCAGATAAGCCTGAAGCAGCAGCTCCTCCTTGTCTCACTGTCCTTAGTTCCTTCGTTTTTCTCCACGTATCTAGGAAAAAGAGTGCTGGCAGGCAAGGGCTCAGAGCTATCTCAGGACAGGGGAGTGCCCCTCCCTACTGCGTTCCTCCCTTACCTGATGGCACGTCAGGCAGGGCTCACAGGGCATGGCTACACCAAATCTTATCCCTGGGATCAGGAACCATCTCTCCTCAAGGCTAAGAATTTTCAAAATCCTTCTTTTGTGCACTGATGATGATAAGAAACCTTTGATTTAGAGAAGTGTCAATAGATGCACATGCTCCAAGCATGTTGAAATGTGTTACACAGAACTCTCCGCAGATAACAGAATAGGGCAGTGGGGTGGGGTGGGGTGGGGTGAGGTAGCTCACGGAGACATACAGCATTGGTGGAACTCCCCATGCAGATTCACAATGCATTTGTGCATGTTAAGGCTCTGAGAAGTCCTGTAGCAAGGAGATGATATTTAGCTCCATGAAGTCCAGAATTTCCTAAATGCATGTAAATGCAAAACTCTTTTACCCTTTTGTTCACTTTTTAATTTTTTTTTTTTTTTTTGAGACAGAGTCTCGCTCTGTTGCCCAGGCTGGAGTGCAGTGGCACAATCTCGGCTCACTGCAAGCTCCGCCTCCCGGGTTCACACCGTTCTCCTGCCTCAGCCTCCCGAGTAGCTGGGACTACAGGCGCTCACCACCACGCCCGGCTAATTTTTTGTATTTTTAGTAGAGACAGGGTTTCACTGTGTTAGCCAGGATGGTCTCGATCTCCTGACCTCATGTTCCTCCTGCCTCAGCCTCCCAAAGTGCTGGGATTACAGACGTGAGCCACTATGCCCGGCCCACTTTTTAAAATTTTTTATAAATTTAGAGGATACAAGTGCAGATTTCTTACACGCACATATTGTGTAGTGGTGAAGTCTGGGCTTTTAGTGCACCCATCACCCAAATAGTGTATGTTGTACCCAATAGGTAATTTTTCAACCCTCACCCCCTTCCACCCTCCCAACTTTCGTCGTCTCTCATGTCTACTATTCCACTCTCTATGCCCATGTGTGCTCATTGTTTAGTCCTACTCATAAGGGAGTACATGCAATATTTGACTTTCTGAGTTATTTCACTTAAGATAATGGCCTTCAGTTCCATCCATGTCACTGAAAAAAACACATGATTTCCTGTTTTTTTTTTTTTTTTGGCTGAGTAGTATTCCATGGTGTATATGTACCACATTTTGTTATCCAGTTCTCCATTGATGGACACTTAGATTGATTCCATATCTTTGCTATTGTGAATAGTGCTGTGATAAACATACGAGTGCAGGTGTCCTTTTGATGTTATGATGTTATGATTTTTCCCTTTGGGGAGACACCCAGTGGTGAAATTTCTGGATCTAATGGTAGTTCTGGTTTTCAGTTCTTTGAGAAATCGCCATACTGTTTTGCATGAAGGTCGTATTAATTTACATTCCCACCAACAGTGTTATAAGCCTTCCCTTTTCTCCACATCCTCACCAACATCTGTTGTTTTTTAGACTTTTTAATAATAGCCATTCTAATTAACGTAAGGTGGTATTTCACTGTGGTTTTAATTTGCATTTCTCTGAGGATTAGTAATGTTGAGCATTTTTTCATATTTGTTGGCCACTTGAATGTCTTCTTTGGAAAAAGTCTCAGAAATCTCCTTTGCATTGCTCACCTGTTAACCACAGAAGGAATGGGTTTCACCCCATCATTCTAGGAGAGCAACACTTTGGGAGCTAGAACAGCAGCTGGCTGGATGTTAGTGGACATTAAACCGTAGTGTACACATTATGTGCGCTTCCACTAAGCCTAGTCTTCTCTACAATTTAAGAAATGATATTCTGATCACTTTTTCCTTGGATGGATTAGCTATCTCTTATTTTTCCCCAACTGCAAAGTGAGGACAGCAATACTTATCTTATAAGAACATGTGAAAATTACCTGTATTTTAAGAAGAAAATGCTGGTCATTAATCAAAAGGACATGTAGCACCTTGGTAGGGACAGGTCTTATTCCACTTAATTCCGTATTCTGGCTTGGGCTTGCACTGAAATGTAGAATGTTAAAACCTGCAAAGATTTGATCTTAAGTTATGTAAATTATGTAACTATGGAAATTAAATGTGTGATGAGAGTAAAGGGAAAGAAAAAGGAAACTAAAAGGATTGAAATTTAAAAAGAAGTGATCAAGCAGAGGATGGAAGGGAGAGCTGGAACAATATACTGGTGAAAGGCTTCAGCCAATGTGGATGCATTGCTTCCACTTTGTATAGTGTGTGTAAACCACGCTGTACGGTGGACAGCAAGGTATCCACTGTATTGGCCATTTGCTCCTGCCCTACAATTCAAGTTAGATGTGCATGGGTTGTAATGCCTTTGAAAAGAGAGAGAGAGACTGAAATTAATGCTGGATGCTACTCCTATTATCTCAGTAAACATTTCCCCCAACATAATCCAGTTTCATCAGATTGGATGAAGGATATTGTAAAAGCACTCGCAAGTGCCTGGCAGTGGGTTACTAACAAATGCATCATGCATCTGAATCTGGGGTGGGGAGAAGCAGGAAGCCATTGGGAGGTACAAGTGCCTGGAGAATGCGTAGGCAGACAGAGGAGAGAAGGGCCGTGCTGCTGGGGGGCACTGCTCACAGGAACCCCATTCTTCTTTTTCCTGATTTGAGGGAAAGAAAATAATAAGAAGCTCTATCTCATTGAATTTATGATAGCCATATTTACCTCTGAGCCATTTAAAATCCTTTTAAAAGAAAAAAGGTCAGTGATAAATATTAATAAGCAAGAGAAAAAAAGGAGATAGAATGAAAAGGGCACAGTCGGGGCACGGTGGCTCACACCTGTAATCCCAGCACTTTGGGAGACTGAGGTGGGAAGATTGTTTGAGCTCAGGAGTTCAAGACCAGCCTGGACAACAGATCGAGACCCCATCTCTACAAAAAAAAAAAAAAAGAGGGAAAATAAATCGAAAGAAAAGGGCACAGGATACCAAGTCAGACGATGTGTGTTCAAGTTCAAATCCTGGTAGCTAAATCTTTACATGCCTTGGATCACTGAGTTTCTCAGAGCTTTGATTTTCTCATCTATAAAATGAGGGTAATGACATGTCTCTCACAGCCTTGTGAGTAGCCCTGGAGATCACACACACATGCAAACTTACCATCCCCGCTCCAGGCTCTAAGTGGGGTCAGAGAGCGTTTGTCATCTTACGCACCTGTGGCTGCTCCTCAGCCAGATTGATGTGAAAAACTTGAAATGAAATTTAAAACATGATGATCTACCTGGAGGACTGTTTTAGATCATTTCGAACTGCTCTCAGCAACTGCATTCTGCTGCTAACGACTATAATCATCTCAATGCTTTTTCTGGTTTTAAACGTAAATATTTTAGAATAGAAAACATAGCAAGCAGCCAATTCTTTAGAATTGCCTATGTGAGGAATACAGCTAGGAAAGGAGGTTGATAATGCATGAACTTGCGCTAAAACATTAAAATGCAATAAAGTTACCAACAGCCTCCTAATCTTTCAGACTATCTTGGCTTCTGATTTTAATACTACCTTACAGATTTGTTGAATGATAGACTTAAAAAAAACTACACAGTTTCAGAGATAAACAAGGTTAGCATTTTGATGTATTTCCCTTTAACCATGAACCAAAGGAGAAGCCACCACTGTCCCATGGAACTAGGCTCCACCCCTCCCCAAGTCTCAAGAACAACCCTGCCCATCTAAGATCAGGGAGTGCATGTTAAACAGGTGAGCTCAACAGCAAGTATCACTCGAGACCAGTCCTTTTCCAGTGGGTCCTGGTCCCTGCCCACAGCCTTGCCCCCACTGGGGCCTGCCTCCCTCTGATGATATTCTCTTCCTGCCCCACTCTGCAGGCTATTTCTCCTCCTTGTCTGTATTTTACTTCATTTGTCCTGCTCCAGTGAAGTTCCCCTGCCCTCCAGCCTTCTCCTGCCTTCCACACTAAACCCCAGGTTAGTCCTTGGGCCACATTGTCCCTCCAGATGCCTGCCTGTCAGACTCAGCCTGGGACCTGGACCTGCCCCACCAGGCATATCCTGACCCCAACATGGGCCAAGCCATGCCAGGCACTCAAAACACCTGTAGACCTGATCAGAGAGCAGACCTTTCTTAGGACTGTCAGAAAACACATTAAGGAGTATCGAGCATTTCATTTGGAAGGAAGTTAGAAGATGCAGAGGCAATTTTATGCATGACTAGAGTTAAAGAACAAGCATGATGCAGTCCCTTCCTTAAGAAAATCAGATTCCCTTTCTTTGGTCCTCCCTCAATTGTTTTCTCCTACCTGTTCCTTTCCCTCCCTCTCTTTAACCTATCCTGCCTTTTCCCCTCCAAAGTCTAAGCAATGGCAAGAGAAATTAATTCACTGCAAACCATCTGCAAGTCTGAACGGAAGTTTTGGAGACTATCCTGCACATGCTCACACATGCAGAGGCACACACAGACACACACACAGAGCAGAAGTGATAAGACAAAGAACAGCAAGCATGGTGGCTCCCACAGAACAGCAGGCATGGTGGCTCACACCTGTAGTTCTAGCTACTAGGGAGGCTGAGGTGGGAGGATTGTTTGAGCCTAGGAGTTTGAGGCAGTGGTGAGCTATGATCGCTCCACTGCACTTTACTTTAGCCTGGGTGACAGAGGGAGACCCTGTCTCTTAAAAAAATAATCATCCAGCTGTGTGCAGTGGCTCATGCCTGTAATCCCAGCACTTTGGGCAACCAAAGCCAGCAGGTCACTTAAGCTCAGGAGTTCAACAGCAGCCTAGGCAACATGGCGAAACCCCATCTCTACAAAAAATACAAAAATTAGCTGGGCATGGTGGCATGCACCTGTAGTCCCAGCTACTCAGGAGGCTGAGGTGGGAGCATCACTTGAGCCCAGGAGTTCAAGTCTTCAAGTGAGCCGTGATTGTACCACTGCACTCCAGCCTGGGTGACACAGTGAGACCCTGTTTCAAAAAAAATAAATAAATCCACAGAATACATATACACCATGAAATACTATGCATCCATAAAAAGAGTGAAATCGTGTCCTTTGCAGCAACATGGGTGCGGCTGGAGGCCATCATCCTAAGCCAATTAACACAGAAACAGAAAATCAAATGCTGCATGTTCTCACTTATAAGTGAGAGCTAAATAATGAGTACACATGGACATAAAGATGAAAACAATAGGCGCTGGGGTCTCCGAAGGGGAGATGGAGGGAGGGAGGCAAGGGCTGAGAAACTACCTATTGGGTCCTGTATTCATTGTTTCGGTGATGGGTTCAGTAGAAGCCCAAACCCCAGGATTATGCAATACATCCATGTAACAAACCTGCACATGTACCTCCGAACAAAAATTTTTAAATAAGTAAATAATTTGTTTATTTTAAAAATAAAAATAAACAAAAAGGATGCACAGAAGTCAGGAGCTAGGACCAGAATTAGCTGAAAGCCATAGCACACCTATGGGCTTCAGTTACCACCACTGACCAGGAGCTCTACGAGTTTATCTCTCAGGTCCCTCCTCTAAGTGCACAGCTGTCTCCCCAGCTGCTGCTTGGCACCACCATGATCTCTAAGTCAATGTGCTTCGAGTTATGATTATGTTCTTTCACCCAAAACCCAACCCTCCTTCTCGGTGTCCATTCCCAATTCAACCTGCTGTACAGGCCAGGAATACGAAAGTACTTTTGGACTCCTTATTTTCTTTCTTTTTTTTTTTTTTTTTCTGAGATGAAGTCTTTCTCTGTCGCCCAGGCTGGAGTACAGTGGCTCAGTCTCGACTCACTGCAACCTCCGCCTCCCAGGTTCAAGTGATTCTCCTGCCTCAGCTTCCCAAGCAGCTGGGATTACAGGCACCCACCACCACGCCCGGCTAATTTTTGTATTTTTGGTAAAGACAGGGTTTCGCCGTGTTGGCCAGGCTGGTCTCAAACTCCTGACCACAGGTGATCTGCCCACCTCGGCTTTCCAAAGTGCTGGGATTACAGGTGTGAGCCACCACACCCGGCCTGGACTCCTTCCTTTCTTTCCATGCAAAGCATGCTCAATCCATAACCAAGTCCTGTTGAGTTTGTTACATAAATAGCCCTTGACTTAATCCTCTTCTCTCCACTCACACAGTCACCCCCCCCGGTCCAAGTGGCAATGGTTTCTTGCCTGGACTGTTATAAATGCCTCCTTCACTTGCCTTTCTGCATCCAGCAGGGCTTCCCTCTTCTCTGCAGTGGATGACATAGCCAGAGTAATCTTTTCAAAACATAAATCTGATCACATTTTACACACATACATACACACACACACCCTTAAGAGCCTTCTTTATTCTAGTAACAATAGCTTCCTAATACTCCTAGGATAAAGATGAAAATTCCTAACTGGGCCTGGGGATCCCAGACCTCAGGGGGAACAGCACCCCACCTCCCAGCCCTGCCACCTGTCCTCATTTCACACAATGCTCCCTCACTCTGCACTCCAAGCAAACTGGGCTTCTTTTGGTCTCTCACCAGGCCCAGCCCTTCCCACTTGCCTAGAACAGGGCTCTCCCCACCTGCCTTCCCTTGGCCCAGGTGACTCTTCTCTGAGCTCAGGTCAATCCCCACTGCCTCGGAAAAGGCAACTCTTCATCTCTTGCTCAAGGTCAACTATCCCATTTTATGCTCTCCCAGTTTCTTGAATTGCCATTGTTAACCATTCTTGGTTGTAGTTCTACATTTTTGATGAATGCCCCTCTTCCCACTAGACCGTGAACTCCGTGAAGACAGAAATCATGTCCTCTTTTTTTCTGCCTTACATAATATTGCTAGCACTTGTGCAGTATTAACAGCAGGTGTTTCCAAAGAGGTTTCATGGCCTTGGGAAGATTCCTGTGGCTGCTGTCCCCTGGGGCTGAGTTTTCTTCTATCAAATGGGCACGGTTACAGTGTTTCCCTGAGGACTATAATTATAAGAGATACGATCTGTTGTTCATATTTGCCTTCACTAAAATTCAAACAATTAAACTTAGCCCTTTAAATATATTGTTCTATCCCACACTGGGGCCTGTCGGGGTGGGGGTGGTGAGGGGCAAGAGGAGGGAGAGCATTAGGACAAATACCTAATGCATGCAGGGCTTAAAACCTAGATGACGAGTTGATAGGTGCAGCAAATCACCATGGCACGTGTATACCTACATAACAAACCTGCACGTTCTGCACATATATCCCAGAACTTAAAGTAAAATTTTTAAAAAAGAATAAAATAAAATGAATAAACAAATATATTGTTGTTGATCTCTGTATACAATGTTTTAACTGTATTTTTTTAGCCTTATCAATATTTCTAAGTATTAATAATACACCCAGAGTTGTCCAAGATATAAAGTCCATGGTTTGTGTCCAGGGAACTTACAATTGTGTATAACTGATATTAATCCTGATATAGTCAAATCACAATATTTAGGTCTTCTGAGGGGCATACAACAATTTATTACTTCTCATGTTGAAGTCCCGACCTGGATGAACAGTCTCTATTGTCTCCACTTCACAGATAAAGAACTGGAAGCAAGTAGATATGACATGACTTGCCCAAGGTCATAGTCAGGAGCAGTGGAGGGAATGACAATCATAATAATTTGCATTTGTAAAGTGATTTTGAAGAATCCAAAGCTCTTAGCAAGCATAATTTAATTCGTCATTGCAACAATGCTGTGAAGTAAGACATAAAATATTTATTTCAATAAGGAGGAAAAGTTTTAAAATATATTTGGGTAACTTATATCATAATCAGCCAGCCAGACTGGATGAAAAAGGCATGTTTTGCATCACACTCCAAAATGGAATATTGGGAACTTCGTTAGAGTTCTGAGGAAGAGTGACTTACTCAAGTCAGGATTCTCTTGGTTGTATCTCTTGCTTCCTGCTCCCCAAGTTAAACCAGAGCAATAGATAGAGGAGAGGCATTGAAGGGAATCCATGTGAATTTGGAGTCAGCCAAACGAGATTCTTATCTACACTCAGCACTGTCACCTTTGGTAAGAAACTTAACTTTGAATAAGCCTGTTTTCTCATTAGTATAGTAGAAATAATAACTGAACTACACACGTGAATATGAAAAAGAAATCAGGTGTTTAGCATGGGGTCTGGTCCAAATAGCTATTTAATAAATGGTCAATATTAATATTTATATTAGTTAATAATAATGAATGGTTCCTTCAGTTTTTTGAAATTATAAACAAATGGCCAAGTTAATTAAGCAAGAAATTCTAGAAGCCAAACATATGCATGGAGTTTAGTTAAAGGTGGGGAAGGGGTCAGTTGAGACTGCCTAGTAAGGTCCATCCTCCTACTGGAGTCCCAAGTTTTCATTCAAGGGGACCCCTCTCCCCAAACTCCAGGCTCAGTAAGACTCATGCATGATGAACCTGGGGCCAGAGCTGAAGAAGGCTTTCCCCAGATGGGATCTTGGGATAGGAAGCAAATATGGAGAAAGATGGTCCCTGGGAGAATTTCTCCACCCAATCCCAAGACCAGATTAAAGAACAAAGCAAGAGTAAAATGAGTTTCAGCCTTAGGGATCTGCAGGAGATACACCTGAGGAAATATTCCTGGGAACCAACTGATTAAGGAGACAAGAAGCTGAGGAAAAATAGTTTTCTGAGAACACTAAAACCAAACAACCTGGCAGAGAACCAGGAAGCTTCCATGCTGCCTGAAATGTAACACACTGTCCTCACGTGTGAGGGAAAACTGTTAGAGAAACTTCTATTATGCAACCAGAATGCCTCTTTAAAACATGAATGGCTTTGATAGGCGAAGTTTGCTGTGTACTGTCCAATGGCTCAATCCCATTCTCTGGTCCTAACGTCTAGCAGAGATAGAAGTCTCAGGAGAATCACTCTGAAAGCAACAGCACTATTTGGCAGGAGCCCATGTAGCCCGTACTTGGGCATGAAAGAGGGAGGCAGTGAAAACCCAGCACGTTGCATCTTCTGCAGCGCATGAAAGATGTTCCACATATTATATATGCTGGAAATCATTTTCTTCCAGAGCAATTAGACAAGAAAAAATAAAAAGCATCTAAATTTTCAATAAAGAAGTAAAATTGTCTCTGTTCGCAGATGATATAATCTTACGCGTAGCAAAGCCTAAAGATTCCAAAAGAAAAAAAAACTGTTAGAACTAATAAACAAAGTAGCAAGATACAAAATCAGTACTCAAAATTAGTTGTTTCTATACACTAACAATGAACAATTTGAGCAGGGTAGCAAAAAAAAATTCCATTTACAATAGCATCAAACAGAATAAAATACTTAAATATAAATTTAACCAAGGAGGCAAAAGACTTGTACACAAAAAACTACAAAATGTTGCTACAATAAATTAAAGAAAATACAAATAAATGGAAACATTCAATGTTCATGGATTGAACGACAATATTACCCAAAACAATCTACAGATTAAATGCAATCCCTATCAAAATTCCAATAGCTTTTTTGGCAGAAACAGAAAAATCCATCCTAAAACTCATGTGGAATCCTAAGGGACCCCAAATAGCCAAAGTATGTTGAAAAAGAAGAGCAGAGTTGGAAGTTTCACACTTCCTAATTTCAAGACTCATAGAACAATGGAATGAAACAGAGATCCCAGAAATAAATCCTTGCATACATAGTCAAATAATCTATGACTGCTTAATGGGGAAAGGACAGCCTTTTCAACAAGTGGTATTGGAAAACTGAATATTCATGTGCAAATGAATGAAGTCGTACTCATACTTATACTATATACAAAAATTAACATGAAATGAACCAAAGGTCTAAACTCAAGGACTAAAACTATAAAACCCTTAGAAGAAAACATAGGGGAAAAGCTTTATGACATTGGCTTTGGCAAAGATTTTTTTTGGTTATGATACTGAAAGCAGAGTCAACAGAAGAAAAAGTAGACAAATTGCACTACATCAAAATTAAAATTTTTTTATACATCAAAAGACACAAAGTAGTGAAAAAGCAATCCAATAAATGAAACAAAATATTTTCAAATTATATATTTCATAAGGAGTAAATATCCAGAATATATAAAGAACTCTTACAACTCAACAACAAAAGAACAAACAGCCCGATTTTTAAATGGTCAAAGGACTTGAACAGACATTTCCTCAAAGAAAATATGCAAATAACCAATAAACACATGAAGATGCCCAATGCCACTAATCATTAAGGAAATGCAAATCAAAACCACAATTAGATACTACTTCATTCCCATTAGAATTACTAATATTTAAGAAAAAAATCATAAAATAACAAGCATTGACAAGGATCTGGAGAAATTGGAACCTTTGTGCACTGCTGATACGAATGTAAAATGGTCCAGCCACCATGGAAAACAGTTTGGTGATTCTCAAAAAGTTAAACATAGAATTACCATTTGATCCAGCAATTCCACTCTGGGTGTATACCCAAAAGAAGTAAAAGCAGGGACTCAAACAGATATCTGCACACCTTTGTTCATAACAGCATTACACAAAAGAGCCAAAGGGTGGAAGCAATCCAGGTGTCCATCAATGTATAAACAGGTGAATGAAATGTGACATATACATACAATGGAATATTATTCAGCCCAGGAAGGAAAGAAATTTTCACACATACCACAACATGGATAAACTTGGAGGACATTATGCTAAGTTAAATAAGCCAGTCACAAAAAGACAAGTATTATATGATTCCACTTACATGAGGTACCTAGAGACAGAATTCATAAAGACTGAAAGAGACAGAAAGTGCCATGGTGGTCGCCAGGGCTGGAGAGAGGAGGAAATGGGGCACTATTGTTTAATTGGCACAGTTTTTCAGTTTGGGAAGACGAAAAATTTCTTGCAATTTGTAAAGATAATAGTTACACAATGTTGTGAATACACTTTATGCCAATGAATTGTATACTTAAAATGATATATTTTATGTTATGTATATTTTATCACAATTTCAGAAAAATTTTTTAAATGAAACAGGTCTATATCTAACAAAATATTATAGGACTTATATGCTAAAAGCTACAAAAGACTGAGGAAAGAAATTTTTTAAATCTAAGAAAGTGGAGAGATTTCTTGTGTTCATAGATTGGAGGAATCAATGTAGTAAAGACATCAGTTCTCCTCAGATACATAGATTTGTCAAAATTCCTTTTAAAATTTCTGCAAGATTTTTTGTAAATATAGATAACTGTGTTCTAAACTTTATAAGAAAGGCAAACAAACTTGGAGAGCTAACCCAATTTTGCAAAAGAAGAATAGAGGCGAAGGAATCAGCCTACCCAATTTCCACACCTCTAGTTACAGTAACCAAGACTGTGTGGTATTGGCAGAAGGGTAGACTTACAGATCAACAGAGCAGAACAGAGAACCCAGAAATAGACCTGTACAAATATGCCCAATGATTTTGACAAAGGTGCAAACGCAATTCAGCGAGGAAAGATAGCCTTTTCAGCAAATGGTGCTGGAGCATATGGACATCCATAATTAAAAACATGAACCTCCATCTCAATCTCATATCTTATACAAAGTTAACTCAAAATAAATCACAGACTTCAATACATAAAACTTTTAGAAAAATAGGAGAAAACTTTTAGGATCTAGGGCTAGGCAAAGTGTTCTTACATTTGACACCAAAAGCATGATCCATAAAAGGAAAAATTGATCAATTGGGCTTGATCAAAACAAAAAACTTCTGCTCTATCAAAGACCCTGTCAAGAGGGTGAAAAGACAAGCCATAGGCTGGGAAAGAAAAATTTGCAAACCACACATCTGATGAATAACTAGAGTCTAGAACATATTTTTTTAAACTCTCAAACTCAATAGTGAAAAAACAAATGAATAAGAAAATGGGCCAAAGGAAAAAAAAAGCTAGAAATATTTCACCAAAGAGGATGGATAGGTGGCAAATAAGCATCTATGGCAAATGCAAATTAAATCACAGTGTACTATCACTCCATACCTGTTAGAATGGCTTTTTAAAATGGTGATAACACCAAATGCTGGTGAGGATATGGAGAAGCTGTGTCACTCATGCATTGCTAGTGGGAATGCAAAATGGGGCACCTAGGGGAAAATAGTTTGGACACTTCTCAACGTCCCAATAAGAAAGGATAAATACTAATTGGATATTGTGTTAGTCAAGGTAGGCTGGGTTAGGCTGCAGTAACAAACCACACAAAAATGTCAGCGGCTTAAACAACAGAATAGGTCATGTTGTTGGAAGTAACCCAGCAACAGAGGCTGATGGAAGTTCTGTGTCAACGTGCTTTCTAGTCACCACGGCAGGACAATGAGAATTTGGCAAACCCTGTGGAAAGTTTCTGCCCAAAAGTGGCACACTTTGCTTCTGCTCACAATTCATTGGCTAAACAGGGATGTAGGCACCTCACGCAGGAAGGGGCACAGAAATGTTGGGATCAGAAATACAGTTCACCATGTGTCAAGGTGCACAACCACCCCAGTTATAAAGGAGGAAGCAGGTCTCAAAACAGCCATCATGGCAGGCACACAGAGCTGAAACCTGGACCACCAAATCATTGAGAGCTCACCTTCATACAAGACAGTCTCTCCACCATTTGGCCATGTCAGTCAAAAGGAAAGAACGCTTACCTGCAAAGAGCTAAGGAGCTAGTATAGCTAATATATGATTACTACTCATGCTTGTCTTGAGCAGAAAATAAAAGGAAACTTGGGAAAATTTGTTTGCCTAATGCTTCTCTTATATTTCTAAATTTTGGGCTCCCTGCTTTATAAAATGACTAATAAATTAGTTAGGGCCTGGCAAAGAGAAAGGAGTCTCTTCTGATCAGCATTTTTTAGAACAGGCTGCACTCAAACACAGTAAAAGACCTCAATTCTTTCTGTAAAAAACTATCCAGCACCACTTGCAGGTGCTTGGAAAGCATTTTCTGATGAAGTCAGTGATCAGAAAAAAATGCCGTGGAGGATCTTGCTATATGGCTATACACAAGAAAACTAGCAATTTCCTCCTTTTTCTCACTTTTTTTTTTGTTGTTGACAGAGACGCACTCCATTGCCCAGGCTGAAATGCAGTGGCGCGATCACTGCTCACTGCAGCCTCCACCTCCCCGGGCCCAGGTGATCCTCCTGAGCCTCCCGAGTAGCTGGGACCACAGGCACACACCACCACGCCTGGCTAATTTTTGCATTTTTTGTAGAGACAGGGTTTTGCCATGTTGCCCAGGCTGGTCTTGAACTCCTGAGCTCAAGTGATCCTCCCACCTCGGCCTCCCAAAGTGCTGGGATTTATAGGCATGAGCCACTGCACCCATCCAAACTAGCAATTTCTTAAACAATTGAATCCAAGACAATAGAAGACTAGTTTCAGCTTGGCCGTATACTAAAAACAGTAGTCATGGGGACCGTTCATCCTCTTTCAGGATGTTTGTCCTTCCTGTCACTATGTTTTCCCACACGGCTCCCTCTCACTCTGTGGACCATTGCTGAAAAGACCAAGTGGGCACCCACCCAATGACAGCAGTTCTTTAGGCCGATCATCTACTCATGATCTGATTTTTAAAATAAACTGGGGCCATGCATGAAGGCTTATGCCCATAATCCCAGCACTTCAGGTGGCTGAGGCAGGAAAACTGCTTGAGGCCAAGAGTTCAAGACCAGCCTGGGCAACATAGGGAGATCTCATTTCTACAAAAGAAAAGTGTTTTTGGTTTTTTGTTTGCTTGTTTGTTTTAAGTGAGCCAGGCATGGTGGTGTGTGCCTATAGTCCCAGCTACTCAGGGGGCTGAGGTGGGAGAATCGCTTGAGCCCAGGAGTTCAAGGCTACAGTGGGCCATGATGACATCACTCTACTCCAGCCTGGGTAACAGAGCAAGATCCTATGAGAAAAAAAAAAAAAAGATAAACTCATTCCTTCGAATCTGAATTAAGGAATCTGAATTAAGAAATGCTTAGGATGAGAAATAAAGGGCAGAGGGAACAGAAACTGGAAGGTCACAATCACAGAAGAGACCTGGGTGGGCAGTCACAGTGGGCCATGAGTGAGCCAGAGTTACAGAAGAATAAAACTCAGACTGAGCAGAGGAAGCAGGGACACAGAGAGGGGAGAGTGGAGCAGATGGCAGAGAGAGGCAGAGGCACCAAGAGGTTGCCTGGATCCCCAAGAAGAGGGGACACAGGTAAGCTCTGGGGCAGCCAGGGGCAGCCCAGTTGCTAACCCCCAGCTTCTGGTTCACCTTCCACTCTAGTGGCTTATCACCACCTTTTCCTAAACCTAGTTCTCTCCCTAAGACAGATTCTGATGCCTGCTGCTAACATGCCTCTTTCCTACCCTATTACAAATTAAAGCACAGCCTTCCCTATATCTCCAAGACTCTCAAAGGGAATAGAAATCTGCTCCTCTCACTTAAAAAAAAAAATTACATAAACAGTCAGAGTCAATTCAGCATGATCTCAGCTCTCCCAGCCCCCGTCAATAAAGAATGATGGCCTTCTGTGAGACACAGAAAGATCTCCATCATGTGTGGCCATGTACTGACAGGCTGTGTCAGCTCATCATTAGAGCCTCACTCGTCTCAGATCTCTGCCCCTGTGAGTCCCATTAACTTCAACACCACACACACCGCCAAGGATGAAACAGGCCCACCTCCAGCCTCTGCCCAGGTCATGCCTCCCTGGGCCTCCGTATTCTTATCAGCAAAACAAGGGAATTGGGCTAGAATCGCTCATTCAAAAGAGACACCAGAGAGTCCAAGGAGTTCTGCAGAGGTAGCTGGAAGCCCGCACAGAAGACGAGAGGGAGCAGAGCTGAGCTCCAGGCCCAACTGACCCCCATGTTTCAGAGGCAGTTTGATGTTGACCCTTCGTTGTACTGGGCCATGTTCAGAACGCAATTAAGGAAATGCTCCCACTGCTAAAAATGCTTGAAAGCCATTGGCCTACCTCTTCGCTGCAGTCCACATCAGCAGCATCTATTTGTCTACAGCAAACCATTTGTTATTCTAAGACCAACTGTTTCAAACAGTTAGCAGCCTCATATGACTTTAGTCAAAATTGATTTCCAGGGGGATTTGATCCAGGAAGTGGAGAGCTGTGGAAGGGATTTTCAGACCCAGGCAAGACGCAGGTCCAGGTCCATAGCAGCCTGTGCCCTACATGGTCCTTCTGCTGAGGGTGAGGCCCAGCCTATGCTTGTGAGAAGAGGGGTTGAATCGAATATGGGGCTGGTCTTACTCCTTAGACTAAGCACTAGTTGCCTCTCAATATCTAGTCTCTTCTTCAGTAATAGAATCCCATATGTAGCTCAGCACAGGATAGAATATCTATCACAGCCCCCTTGCAGCCAAGTGTCGCCAAGTGACCAAATTCTAGATAATGAGATGTGAGCAGAAGTGCTGTCTGGGATTCTGGGAAACTTCTTTCATAACAGGGACAATGTCTAATGCTCATCAGTCATTCTTAACTAGGAAGACCCAAGATAGCAAGAGACAGCAACATAGCGGGAGCCTGGGTCCCCTGAAGACCTTTGAGCCCCCCTCTCAGCCCCAGACTGCATACTTCTAGATTCTCAGTGTGACAGAAACCCTGAGTCTTATTTAAACCATTGTTATTTTGAGTTCAAGGTCACATGCAGTTTGATCCAACCCAGTAAATAAATAATTTATACCCAGAAGTGTCATGCTGCAAGAGACAGAGCCTATTATTGGAGGAGGTCAGATGGCAGGTGATAAGGGGATAAGGGCCTCGTAATGCAGCAGCAAACTGCATTATACATTGACAACACTGTTGCCTGTTGTTTCTTGGAAGAGAGACCATAAGCTGACATCTGGGCATAGAAGGATTGGTGGGAAGAAGTCAGAATGTTGGCAGATGGTGACTGTGGTGGCTTCATAATGTATCAACTGGCCCACCCTGAGCTCTATCCCCAGAATGTCCTTTCCAATAGGCTTCCACTGGGGTGGGCCACAAGAGAGATTCTCGGGAGATTTGCAGGGCAGCAAGAGCAGCAGCTGTCTTGTGGCTCACACACACACACACACACACACACACATCATCATCATCATCATCATGATCACCACCATCACCATCACGGATCAGCTGACTCATCTCCTTGGAGTGAAGCAGCAGCTGGATCGGAAATGGCTCCACTTGCCACTGGATCCTCCTTCTGCCAGGCATGCCACCCGTGCAGTTGCATAGGAACAGGGAGCTCTGCATTTTCACTCTGCACCGGGTCCAGCATATTATGTAGCTGGTTCTGCCCAGTTCTTCTGTGTCTCTGATTAAACTCTGATATGGTTTTCTTCTTTCCCTCTTAACTTTTTAACAAAATCCTATGGGGAAAGAGAGAGAGAGATTGAGCTCAGGCCACAGCCATCCTGCCTGGAGCAGAGAGAGGAAGAAGACAGCAATGCTGAGGAAGGGATGCCTGTCTGCAGCCCTGCTTCTGTGCCCCCAACAGAAGCATGATAGGTGGTAGCTGGAAAACTGCCCTTTCGAGGAGAGGTGATGGTGTACTCCACTTAAAGGTAGCTGGCTGGCAAGGACATTAACCATCATGCCAAAGCCCTCTGCTTCAGGCAGCCTCAAAACAGAGACATTAAGTTGGAGGGCAGAGCAAAAAGTAAAAGGCAAGGCTGAAAACTATGTAGACAAGATCTTTGGTTGCTTACTCGCATGTGAAACTGATTGGAAGAAGATAAGCTAAAAGGCTATGAGATTTTTCAGAGAAATGTCATTCTAAAAAAATTCCAACCTGACTGGAAATAGCCTGGGCAGTTTAAAACCTCAAAGCAGAGCCTCGGGCCACAGAAGAGAGATGACTAGGAAGACCTCCCAAAAAGGCAAAACTCGGTGCCTAAGAACAGAAGGTGGGCTGTGAGAGAGGCCGACAAAGGAGGTCCTGGATCCTCTCCAGCAGGGCTGCACAATGCCAACGAACCTCAAGTGCAAGATAGCTGCTGAGACCACTGTGTGTTTCCCACTCTACCCGCTGCTGACTACACATTTGATTTTTGTTTCTCTTGTTCGGCAACGGGAAACCATCAGGGAAACAGTCAAACCACCATTACTGGTTTGACAAAGGCATACACTCATCTTTTTTTTGTGGGCAATATCTCGACTGAACAGCACTTCAAGCCTCAGAGTGAGGTGCTGGACGCGTCCATTGGACAGTGCTCCTCCGGGAAACCCACGCACTCAGCACAGGGGAAGGAGGGCCCGCAGGCAGTCAGTTAGCCAAAGGCACCAGGTGCCCTCCTATACCCAATCTTCCATGCCATTTTCATAGTAAAATCCCAGTGCTGGTATAGCATACTGGCCCCAGAATAAAGGAGTGTGGCCCTATGACTAAGCTTTTCCAATGATATGTAAATGGAAGAGTTGCGAGGGGCTTCAAGAAAATCTCCAGAAAAGGTACAGGGGATGTGCCTTTCATATTCCTCTTTTCCTTCTTCCAGCTACTGGAATAGGAGGGTGGCATCTGATGTTCAAGCAGACACTTCAGCTCATGAGGACAGATGCTAGATTGATGGAAAGACCGTAGAGGACACATACAGTAGGGGTCTGGGTCCCTGGAGGCTGTGGAGCCACTTTACCAGACCTGGACTGCTGAAATCCAGACCTCTTTTATATGAAAGAAAAGTGAAGCTCCAGGTTACTCAAGTTACTATTAGCTGGGGTCCTCTTCCACAAGAAGCCTGGCCTAATCCTAGCTCATACAGTCCCAGTTGCCTGGAATTCTAGCTGTTCACCAGAATCCAACCTTTTCCTGTTTATCTGAACACATAGCCAGCCTACATTTCCTACCTTCCTTGCAGTTGAGATGGCCATGGGTGATAAAATTCTAGCCATGGAATGTGAGTGGCTTTTAGGGTGTGACAATGATGACTCCATCCTCTTTGTCTCCTTCCTCCAGCTGGATAGAGAAACCAATAATGCCCTAGGTGACAGTGGAACCACAAGCTAAAAGGAGCCAGAATCCCTGAATCACTGCATGGAGCAGAATTCCCTATCAACCAGAGACAGCCACTGGTCTATACTTACATGAAGGAGAAGTAAACTTCTAATGTGCTTGAACAATTACACATTTGAAACCACAAGCTAAAAGGAGCCAGAATCCCTGAATCACTGCATGGAGCAGAATTCTCTATCAACCAGAGACAGCCACTGGTCTATACTTACATGAAGGAGAAGTAAACTTCTAATGTGCTTGAACAATTACACATTTGGAGTCTATTTATTAAAGAGTGTAGTCTACCCTGACTATCATAGATGTAAAGGGAAAAAACTAAGAAGCACAAGATAGGGTATGTCGGGTCTCAGTCATGGTAACTTCAGTTCTGAGTTCTAGTCCCAGCAAGGGAAGCACTAATCAGGAAATTCGACCCAAAAACCTGTCATGCAGACATAACAATCACCCGGGCTGGGAGGATTACAGTCCAATGAGTCACTCCATGCTCACTGAACAGCAAAATTAACTCCAGACCACATTTGCTGATGGGTCTGAGCCCTCTAATGTGGGTGCTGCTTGGTCAGCAGTGACCAAGGGACTTGACAGAGCCCAGTATTGAAAGCTGAGAGAGCCTCAAGGAGCTGAGGACCGGAAATTCAAGTTTATTTGGGGGTTAAGCTAGAATTAACCTATACCTACAGGCAGGTCCCTCAAGTTACTACTGGGATAAGCTAATCACATGAGCACCAACATGGTTAATAAGCCAAATAAATACAGAAACTCTACTTACAACTTCAATTTAGAAACTTTTGTACCTCCGATGAAAGCATAACGTAGTGGTTGTGTCTCCAAACACTGATGTAAACGTGCCTCCATTCAAATTCTGACCCTGCAACTTACCAGCAGCTGAGTAACCTAGGGACCATCACTTAAATTCTCTCTGACCTTCAGGTTCCTCATCTATAAAATGAAAGTTATGTTAGTATCTTACTCAGAAGGTTGTTGGTTTAAGGACTTTATACACTTTAAGGACAGCAGAAAACACATCACCTCCACTGCCACTATTAGATGTCATTAACATTGTTTATACAATCTCCTTTTGGTCAAGAGTCCTGCAAATAGCTTTTTTGAACCCGACCTTTTGTAAATAGAGTAGTCTCTGTAATCTATTTAGCACATATATGTAATAATATTTCAGATAAATATGTATACTATTGTAATATACTAAATGCAAGTCCTTTAAAAATTTTAAGTGAATTTATGATCACTTGGCATTATACTATTTCCTCAATCAGTATTCATTCACCAATTCAACAGGTATTTGCTAGGGATTCATTCTATGCCAGCGTTATGGATTGAATATCTATGTTCCTCTCAAATTCACATGTAAAATCTAATCCCCAATGTGATGGTATTAGGAGGTGGGACCTTTGGGAGGTGGTTAGGTCATGAGGGTGGAGCCCTCATGAATGGGATGAGTGCCCTTATAACTGGCTCTGTTTCTGCCATTCAAGGATAGAATGAGAAGTTGGCAGTCTGCACCTGGAAGAGGGCTCTCACAAGAACATGACCATGCTGGCACCTTGACCTTGAACTTCCAGCCTCCAGAATTGTGAGGAATAAATTTCCCTTGTTGATAAGCCACTCAGCCTGTGGTATTTTGTTATAGCAGCCTCAACTAAGACAGCTAGGCACTGAGCTAGTCACTGGGTCTGGCTCTGGAAATACAATGGAGAACAAATCAGACTGGGGCCTTATCTACCCAGAATTTGCATTGGTGGGACCACTCCTACTGTCCTGAGCAGTCAGCAATGCCTCTGGATAATGTGTAGCAATCCTGATGTTCAGAAATGTCAGGATCCCGGGGTTACACAGCTGCTAAATTTTTCCTAGCCCCATGACTCTATTTTCCTGTCACTCACTAACTAGTAATGACCTTTTGGCTCCTAAGACCACCTTTAATATCACTTTCTTTGCTTGAATCTAAATATGGACACTTCCTCCAAGGTCCTCATAAGTCCTGGTATGAGGGAAACTTACCTCTCAGGCCCCCGAGAGTTCGCCTTTCCCTACTGATGTTTGCTCACTGGGAAATACCTCTTCCAAAAAATGAGAAATTAGAATTATTTAGACGCCTGTCTACATCCTGTTGGTTTCTATAACTGTTGATATTTCCACATTCCCCTCCTTTCAGACGACAGTCTTCTGGGGGTGCATACACATTCTGAGGTTGTGTCAATCACAGGGCCGAATACTCACTGGACTGGATGAAACCACAGGAAGCAGGCCTACAATGTGGAAAATGGCTTTTCATCTGTCAAAGCCAAGCAAAGCTGGAGCCAGCTACAGTGGTTGACAATCAAAGCCTTGTCATTGTGCCCTGAGTGACCAGAACCAGGTCAACAATTTAGCCAAGATGTGACAATGAGGATGCCGGTTCAGAAGTAGATAAACTTAATGACCCCTTAGCCCTGAGATTCTGGCCTTAGAACTCCTGCCTAGCAGGTGGGGTGCAGGTCTCCACAAAGCCAATCTAGATCATACAATTAATGGAAGCCAAAGGGTCACTGATGATTTGCGTTGGCAAAACGCAGAGTGTTGCCTCCCCACTGGTCACAAGGTCACTGTCCCTCTTCGAGGTAGACCTTTGCTGTTTGTCGGCCCATGGCAGAATTGGCGAGGTGAGAGCAGAGCCTCTGTGGATCCTACTGTTCCTGAAACTCTTGGCATCTCCCCTTTCCAACCTCGAGAGTCAGTGCTACTATTATATATCTTCTACTGTGATGATTGATTGGGGGGGGTGTGTGTATGTGTGTATCTGTGTGTGTGTGTGACATGAACAAGCATCCACCTAATCTCTCAACTGACCTAAATCACGGATGATCAGAATCTTCAGGGAGCTGTCTCATTCCTTTCTGAGTTTGCAGTGCTTGGCACTATGTTGCCATTCAATAAATGCCCAGCTTTAGCATGGCTCTCTTTCTCTATCATATCTGCTCCTCTTCCCCTTTGTGCAGAAGGCATAATGAGCATCTCAGTCAGGACAAAGACAGATTTCTGTGTTCTGAAAGTGAAACTAAGAGTGAGTTATTTTCCTCTAGTTGAGAGAGCTCTTGTAGAGAGAACATGGACCCACTAGTAAATAAAAGCAAATTTAGTGTCTTTTGCTGCCATCTTAGACACAGTGGGGAGGAAAGAGTCAATTTCTAGCCAGAGGAGATGAAAGGTTACAGACTGGTCCACTCCAGGTAGGGCACAGCCCCTGCAGGTGGCATTTGGGGTTGGTGGGGATCTGGCAGTCGGCAGGGTCTCCCCTTCTTGTCAGGAGAGGGTCAGCATCTCCAATAGCGGATCCAGCTTCTGTCGGCACAGTGGCGTGGTCTACATCTTGTCTGGAGAGAGGCCTTCTCTCCCTGCTATCTGGGTATGGCTGGCTCTTATCAACAGCAGCCAGGCAGCCTCAAGCTAGGCCACTCCCATCCGCTGGGAAACTGCAGCACCTGCTATAAAGCAATCATACTTTTTGTAATTCAAACATCACAGTTGTGCCTACATTTAAATTACCGTGCTATAACTTACTTGCATCATCTTGTAATGACTTAAAGCCTACAACTTCAACTAATTAAAAAGACAATCTGGTGAGCTGAGGAGTCTTGCCACGTGGTTAACTTTTGTGCAGGGGGCCCAAATTCATGCTTTCTCAGCAATGCCTGTGGACAACGCAAGAGTCTGCCGTGCCAGGGTCCATATTAGTAGTTACCAGTAATTTTAGGTCAATATTGAGTAGTTGCATTTGAGGAAAATAAAGGTCTTTTCCCTAACACCAAATGTCTCCTCACCTACTATGTATGTATCCAGCACAGTGCAGAATAGGGAGTCCTAAGATGTGGGCCTTTCTCTAAAGAAGCATGTAGACTACCTCAAGGGACAAATACACATGCAACAATATCAGCACTGAAATACATAATAATGACAATAAACGTAGTCAAAGATGAGACAGATGAAAAACAGTGCTTCATGGAAAGATATGGAAGGCAAGCCCCCCTTTCCCCATTCTTAGTGGGAAAGATATAATTCCAACTAACATCTCTTTGGCAAATGGAGAAATTGAAGTCCAGTACTGAACAAAAGACCACACAGCCAGGATTCAAATTCAGGTCTGCCAGCTCTAAGATCTCTGGGCTTTCTACTGTGCTTTATGATTTATGAATTTAAACGATTGCTCCTCATTCTGTTTGGGGGGAAAAAAGTGTCAGCCTTCCTTAACAGGATAGTTTACAGAATCCACACTTATTGACCACAAAGAGTGGGCAAAACTGGATTCGTCACCTTCTGTGAGTCAAGGTCTTTGTCCACTGTGCAAACCGCACAGTCCCTGAAGCATCATTTCACTCACGTTCAGCCTTGGGGTCTGTCCTGAAGAGGAAGCCCCTCTGCCATTTTAGCCTCTTCTGAAATTCTCTTCTCCCCAGAGGTAACCTCCCTGAGTCATGCGGTCCAGGCTCCATCTTGTGTGTCCCACTGAGCCAGTGACCATATTTCTGGTCTCTCTCTCAGTTCTGATTGGTGTTTTGTTCTCATCTACCAAATGATGTTTAGATTACAAATGGCAAGTGTTGCATGCTCAGCAGTGGAATGGGAATAGTTGGGGAAGCTGGCTGATTCATTTGGGTCTGGCTGAAAATAGCGTGAACCCATTTTCCAAACCTACGGTGGAGGGTGCCCTGTTTTATCCCAGTATGTTTCACCTTATGACAGCTAAAACCTTTCTTTGCACTTGAAGTTTAAATAGGAGCTCTAATCAAAACTGTTCCTGCCATACTGTCAGCCTTCCAATGGATTAACTTTTACAAAAGCCTGGATCCAAGGGGCAATTCAAGATGCTGTGTTGGCATCGACTCAAGTGTCTGAGGCTGTCTTCTTACCCGCATGTGTGCGATAAAAACTTTCACACTGCACTTTCAGAAGGGGAAAAAATAAGTTACTCATAATAGGAAATTAAGAGGAATTGCTATGGAGTTGCCATCATAAATTAGATAGGCCATCAGGAAAATATGATGGAATGAGCTGCTATGGAAAAGCTTATTTCTCTGAGCACATTTATTTTTCATGAGTTTTTATTATTCAGTAGCTTTAGATTCAATCGACAGGCCTCCATCTGTCATAGGTGGCCAGGGTCTTTTTCAGGGAAGAGGAGGGGGAGGCCCCACACACATACTTTTCCTGAGACCATGAAGGGATTTGAAGAGGAATGTTTTAAGAAACCCAAAAAGCATTTACCTCCAAAAAACTGGTGCAAAGGCATTTTAATGAACTTCCCAATGGGCCAAGATGAAATTTTAAAACTTAAAGAACTAAAGCATGAAGTAAGCCTGTCAAAACAGTAACTTTTGTTAGACCTTTCACCCAAGATGTTCCAGGTACTTCACATCTCTAGATTATTTCAGATACTTTTTTCTAGGTTGTTCTAGAATATTATTCTAGAGTATTCCAGGTACTTTGGAATTTAAACAATACCATCATCATGCTGTTAAACCAGGATCTTAAAAAAACCTGCCAAGCTAGATAAATTCTCCTGAGTGAGCCATGTTACCCTTAGCAACCACAGCCTGTGCCTCAAAGCCTGGAGAAGGCAGAGGGAGGGGTCTTCTTTCCCTGGCCTGGGCTAGATTCTAGCCCATTTCTTCCTGTCTCTGAAAAAGTCTGTGCTGCCTTGGGAGACACAGTCCCCACTGCATTTCTCATTACAATTCTGCCTCTCCTGGAGTGGATGTCCAAGACACTGAGTGGCTTCTCCACTCTGTCTTGTAGAACATCTATGGTGAATTCCAGGTCAGAAGAATAAAAGCAGAACGCTAAAGGGGAAACATGGGTTCTAGGTGTCAACACTTCCTCCTTCTGTGGAAGTTGTCTGAATTACAGAGCTCAGGGG
This sequence comes from Homo sapiens, assembly GCF_000001405.40. Taxonomy (NCBI): domain Eukaryota; kingdom Metazoa; phylum Chordata; class Mammalia; order Primates; family Hominidae; genus Homo; species Homo sapiens. The sequence goes on along the minus strand of NC_000001.11, from coordinate 229,751,452 downwards.
AAAGGTTCTTTTCAGGTGACCTAACACTGATTTTCAGAGAAATTGTTTTAAGGGGCAGGACGTTGTACTTGGTGTTATTGGATCAAAAATGACAATGTTGTCACTGCTTTTTGTACAGAAAAATATTTTATTCTTTTGCACTGAAGCATGTTTTTATTTATTTTTTACTTATTGATACATCATAGATGTACATATTTTCAGACTACATGTGATCATTTAACACATTCACATAATTTCTAAAGATCAAATCAGTACAATTAGGATATCTATCACCTTAAATATTTGTCTTTGCTTTATACTACAAACACTCAAATTATTCTCTTCTATTTATATTTCTAAATATAAAAAAATACAACATTTACATATAAATGCAATATATAAATATAAATATAATAGATTATTATAAACTGTAATCACCCTACTGATCTATCAGTGTCTTAGTTCTTCCATCAAAGTGTATATTTGTAACCATTAATCAACCTCTCAGAAAAAAATTTTAGAGAAAATTCTACTGTTTAATAAGCTGGGAAATAAGCATGAAAATACTCAGTTTTGCAATTCACCAACACCACTCACTTCCCACTCCTCTTCATCTGGCTCCTGGCCCTGGGGCTAAAGCCTGGAAGAATTATTTGATGACACTACACAGAGTAAATGGGTGGAAAGAGACTGGGTTTAGGAAGCTGGAGGCTGGGGACCTAGTTCCAGATGCACTCATCACCGGCTTCCAGGTCCTGGCCAAGTCATCCAACAGCCCTGAGCCTAGTGGTAGAAATTTTTCAGTCTGCAACTCAGGGATAATTTCTGTGAGGATGTATCTTCCTCATACATAATTGTCAAACCCACTGTTGTCTTGGGCCCTGTCTCATAGGCCTACCCATTCCACTTTTAGTATATATGCTGCTGAGGTGAACACAAACTTATTCATTCATTCATTCATTCATCTATTCTTTCATTCAACAAGTGTTTTTTAAGCACATATTAAAATCTTTTCAATTGGAATAAAAGGAAAAGGAAGGCAGCAGCTATTAAGCTATTATCATCATTCAAAGATCATCTGCCACCATATGTCAGAATTTGTAGCTGCAATATTCACTGAGTCTTAATGAAAACAAAGGGATGTATCAATAGATGTAAGGGGCTTACACGCAGTCTGTAGCCAGGAGTGGGCCTGACCACCTGGAAGGGCTGCTCCAGCGGAAACTCCCCCCATCCTCTGGAAGCTCCCACTCCTCAACCGGCTCCAATGCCACAGCCTGGGCTGCTGGAGCTTGGTCCTGGTGCCAGCAGCTACCCAGAAAGGCACTCTCCTCTTGCCCGGCACTTCTGTGTCTGCCTGTCATGGGCCCCAGGCCTGCTCACCAGCTGCAAAGGAGGCCAGAATGTTAAGTCCTGACTTTGCCTTTGGAGAACTGGGACTCATAATGTGGGATTTTCCCTAAAATAGAAAAGATATTCAAGAGAGGCTGACCAGTAACCTAAAAAACAAACAAAACAAATCAATAAATCAATCAGACAAATGTGTGTGGAATTGTCTTGGAAAATCTTTTATTAAGAGCTGCTCACCAATTTATTTGAAAGTCAACTTCTGTTAGAAATTTGTGACACAGTCACAATTTTTAAATTATTCATTCATTATTTTTAATTGACAATTAAAATTTATAAAATTAATAAAATTAAAAATTATATATTATGTGCAACATGTTTTGAAATATGTATAAATTGTGGAATGGCTAAATACAGCTCAAAATAAGAACTATCTCACATACTTATCATTTTTTATGGTGAAAACACTTAAAATATACTCTCCTAGCGATTTTCAAGAATACAATACATTAACTATAGTCATCATATTATACAGTACATATCTTGAACTTATTTCTCCTACCTAACTGAAATTTTGTATCTTTTTTTTTTTTTTTTTTTGAGATGGAGTCTCACTCTGTCACCAGGCTGGAGTGCAGTGGCGCAATCTCAGCTCACTGCAAGCTCCGCCTCCCAGGTTCAAGTGATTCTCCTGCCTCAGCCTCCCGAGTAGCTGGGACTACAGGTGCCCACCACCACACTCAGCTAATTTTTGTGTTTTTAGCAGAGACGGAGTTTCACCATGTTGGCCAGGATGGTCTTGATCTCTTGAACTCGTGATCCGCCCACCTTGGCCTCCCAAAGTGCTGGAATTACAAGCATGAGCCACCCTGCCTGGCCTGAAATTTTGTATCTTTTGACCATCATCTCCCCAAGCCTCCCACCTCCAGTTTCTGGTAACCACCATTCTACTCTCTACTTCTGTGAGTTTGACTTTTTTAAATTCCACATATAAGTGCAGCATTTGTCTTTCTGTGCCTGACTTATTACACTTAGCATAACATCCTCCAGGTTCATCCATGTTGTTGCAAATGGCAGGATTTCCTTCTTTTTAGGGCTTAATAGTATTCCATTGTGTGTATATATCACATTTTCTTTATCCATTCATTCATTAATGGACACTGAGGTTGATTCCATATCTTGGCTATTGTGGATAATGCTGCAATGAACATAGGAGTGCAGACATCTCTTTGACATGCTGATTCATTTCCTTTGGATATATACCAAGTAGTGAGATTGCTGGATCATATGGTACTCCCATCCCATTTTTAAGTGTTTTTTTGTTTGTTTGTTTGTTTGTTTGTTTGAGACAGAGTTTCACTCTTGTTGCCCAGGCTGGAGTGCAATGGCACGGTCTCAGCTCACTGCAACCTCCGCCTCCTGAGTTCAAACGATTCTCTTGCCTTAGCCTCCTGAGTAGCTGGGATTACAGGTGCCTGCCATCACACTGGATAATTTTTGTATTTTTAGTAGAAACAGGGTTTTGCCGTGTTGGCCAGGCTGGTCTCAAACTCCTGACCTCAGGCCCGCCTCAGCCTCCCAAACTGCTGGGATTACAGGTGTAAGCCACCGTGCCCAGCTCATTTTTAAGTTTTTGAGGTGTCTCCATACTGTTTTCCATAATGGCTATACTGATTCCCAGCAACAGTGTGGAAGGGTTCCCTTTTCTCCTCATCATCACCAATTCTTGCTATCTTTCATCTTTTTGATAATAGCCATTCTAACAGGTGCAAAATGATACCTCACTGTGGTTTTAATTTGCATTTCTCTAAAGATTAGCAATGTTGAGCATTTTTTCATATCTGTCTAGTGGTCATTACTATGCCTTCTTTTGAGAAATGTTTATTCTGATCCTTTGCTTCTTTTTCCATAAGGTTATTTGTTTTCTAACTATTGAGCTGCATGAGTTTCTTACATATTTTGGATATTAACCCCTTACCAGATGTACAGTTTGAAAATTTCTTTCATTGTGTAGGTTGTTTCTTCACTCTGTTGGTTGTTTCTTTGGCTGTGCAAAAGCTTCTTAGTTTTATGTAATCTCATTTGTCTATTTTGGGGGGCTTATATCCAAAAAAATCATTGCTCAGACCAATGTTGTAAAGTTTTTCCCTTAAGTTTTCTTCTAGTGGTTTTATAAGTTCAAGTCTTACATTTAAGCCTTTAATTTTGAGTTGATTTTTATATAGGGTGTGAGATAAAGGTGTAATTTCAAACTTTAACTTTTTAAAAAAGTAATTACTATAAAAAGAAAAGAGGCTGCTGCCTCCACGCAAGCACATGAAGGAACACCGCCGCCCCACTCCAGCCAGTGCCCCTCCCCAGCCAACATGCATGCACCCCACCTCGCTGCTGGAGCTGCTGGAATGTGCAAGTGAGCATGGATCCTGCTGCTACCACCCCAACAAAGTGCTTTGGCAGACACCCACTATTGGAGGGTTACGGCCAGTGGACTGAGAACACCTCTGTCCTCCAGTGCAGCAGGTTCCTTATGTCAAGGGGCCAGAGAACAAAGCCAGGGGCCCAGCACTGGCCCCCAAGAGTTAGAGCATACAACCCACGAGTGCTGAACTGAGGCTTGGCCCCCTGAAATGTTTCAGAAATGAAGCCAGTCCACTGAATCCACAATCGAATCCCTAAGGGAATCATAGAAAATAAAAGCAAAAAACAAAACAAAAACAAAAAAACAGTAACCTCAAAGACTGAAGGAACATCAACCCACTCAGATGAGAAAAAATCAGTGCAAGAATGCTGGCAACTTATAAAGCCAGACTGTCTTCTTACCTTCAAATGATTTCACTAGTTCCTCAGCAATGGTTCTTTTTTTTTTTTTGAGACAGAGTCTCGCTTTGTCACCCAGGCTGGAGTGCAGTGGCCCGATCTCGGCTCACTGTAAGCTCCACCTCCTGGGTTCACGCCATTCTCCTGCCTCAGCCTTCCAAGTAGCTGGGACTACAGTCGCCCGCCACCATGCCCGGCTAATATTTTGTATTTTTAGTAGGACAGGGTTTCACCATGTTAGCCAGGATGGTCTCAATCTACTGACCTTATGATCCGCCCGTCTCGGCCTCCCAAAGTGCTGGGATTACAGGCATGAGCCACCACGCCTGGACAGCAATGGTTCTTAACCATGCAGAGTGGGAAATGGTTGAAAGACACAGAATTCAGAATATGGATAGGAACAAAAATCATCAAGATTCAAGAGAAAGTCAAAACCCAATACAAGGACTCTAAGGAATACCATAAAATGATTCAAGAGCTGAAAGATGAAATGGCCATTTTAAGAAAGAACCAAACTGATCTGATAGAGCTCAAAAACTCACTTTAAGAATTTTGTAATACTATCACAAGTATGTACAGCAGAATAGACCAAGCTGAGGAAAGAATCTCAGAGCTCGAAGACCAGTTTTCCAAAATAACTCAGTCAGACAAAAGTAAAGAAAAAAGAACAAAAAAAGAATGAACAAAACCTCTGATAAATATGGGTTTATGTAAAGAGACCAAGTCTATGATACATTGGTGTCTTTGAAAGAGAGGGAGAGAAATCAAGCAACTTGGGAAACATATTTAAGGATATCATCCATGAAAATTTCTCCAAACTTTAGAGAGGCCAACATTCAAATTCAAGCAAGAAATGCAGAGACACCCTGTGAGATACTACACAAGATGACCATCCCCAAGACACATAGTCATCAGATTCCACAAGGTCAAGATGGAAGGGAAAAAAAATGTTAAAGGCAGCTAGGGAGAAGGAGTAGGTCACCTCCAAAGGGAACCCCATCAGGCTAACAGTGAACATTTGGGAAAAAACCTGCAAGCCAGGAAAGACTGAGGGCCTATATTCAACATTCTTAAAGAAAAGAAATTCCAACCACAATTTCATATCCAGCTAAACTAATGTTCATAAACAAAGGAGATATCAGATCCTTTTCAGAAAAGCAGATGCTAAGGGAATTTGTTGCCACCAGACTTGCCTTACAAGAGGTCCTTAAGGGAGTGCTAAATATGGAAAGAAAAGACCATTACTAGCCACCACAAAAACACACTTACGTACAATGACCATTGAAACTATGAAGCAGCACAATCAAGTCAGCATAATAACCAGCTAACTCACAATGGCAGGGTCAAGTCTGCACATGTCAATATTAACCTTGAATGCTAATGGGCTAAATACCCCAATTAAAAGGCACAGAGTGGCAAGTTGGGTAAAAAAGCAAGATACAATTTTGTGCTGTCTTCAAGAGACTCATCTCACATGCAATGACACCCACAGGCTCAAAGTAAATAGATGGAAAAAAATCTACTAAGCAAATAAAAAACAGAAAATAGCAGGGGTTGCTATTCTAATTTCAGAAAAAACAGACCTTAAGCCAACAATGATTTAAAAAACACAAAGAAGGGCATTACATAATAGTAAAGGGTTCAATTCAACAAGAAAACCTAATTATTTTTAAATATATATACACCCAACACAGGAGCACCCAGATTCATAAAATAATTTCTTAGAGACCTACGAAGAGACTTAGATAACCCCACAATAATAGTGGGAGAATTCAGCACCCCACTGGCAATATTAGACAGATCACTGAGGCAGAAAACTAACAAAGGTAGTCAGGACCTGAACTGAACACTTGAGCAAATGGACCTAACAGACATCTACAGAACTCTCCACCTCAAAACAATAGAATATACGTTCTTCTTACCTGCACATGGCACATCACATACTCTAAAACTGACCACAAAATCAGCCATAAGACAATTCTCAGCAAATTCAAAAAAACCAAAATCATGCCAACCACACTCTTGGACCACAGCACACGGAAATTAAACAACCTCCTCCTAAATGGCTTTTGAGTAAATGATGAAATTAAGGCAGAAATCAAGAAATTATTTGAAACTAGTAAGAACAAAGATACAACATACCAGAATCTCTGGGACATGTCTAAAGTAGTGTTACGAGAAATGTTTATAGTGCTAAAGCCCACATCAAAAATTTAGAAAGATCTCAAATTAACAACCTAACGTTATACCTCCAGGAACTAGAAAATGAGAAACAAGAACAAACTAACCCCAAAGCTAGCAAAAGACAAGAAATAACCAAAATCAGAGCTGAACTGAATGAAGTTGAGACATGAAAAACCATACAAAAGATCAACAAATCCAGGAATTGGCTCTTTGGAAAAATAAATAAGATTGATAGACTGCTAGCTAGTCTAATGAAAAGAAAGGAAAAGATTCAAATAAACACAATCATAAATTACAAATGAAACACAAGAATGCAAAAACCTTCAGAGACTATTATGAACACCTCTATGCACACAAACTAGAAAAACTAGAAGACATGGATAAATTCCTAGAAACACACAACCTTCCCAGATTGAACCAGGAAGAAATTAAAACTCTAAACAGACCAATAACAAATTCTGAAATTGAATCAGTAATAAAAAGCCTACTAACCATGAAAAGCCCAGGACCAGATAGATTCACAACAAAATTCTTCCAGATATATAAAGAAGAGCTGGTACAATTTCCATAGAAAATATTTCAAAAAATTGAAGAGGACAGACTCCCCCATAACTTATTCTATGAAGCCATCATCATTCTGATACCAAAACCTGGCAGGGACACAACAAAAAAAAAGAAAACTTCAGGCCAATATCCTTGATAAGCATAGATGCAAAAATCCCCAACAAAATACTAGCAAGCCAAATCTAGCAGCACATCAAAAAGCTAATCAACCATGATTAAGTAGGCTTTACTCCTGGGATGCAAGGTTGGTTCAACATACACAAATCAATGCATGTAATTCATCCCATTAACAGAACAAAAAACAAAAACCATATGATCATCTCAACAGACGCAGAAAAAATTTCAATAAAATTCAACATCCCTTCATGTAAAAAGCCCTCAACAAACTAGGCGTTGAAAAAACATACTTCAAAATAATAAGAGCCATCCATGACAAACCCATAGCCAACACCTTACTATGTGGGCAAAGGCTGGAAACATTCCCCTTGAGAACTGAAATAAGACAAGGATGCCCACTCTCACCATTCCTATTCAACATAGTGCTGGAAATCCTAGCCAGAGTGATGAGGCAAGAGAAAGAAATAAAATGCATCCAACTAGGAATAGAGGAAGTCAAACTATCTCTGTTTGTAGATGATATTATTCTATACCTAGAAAACCCCATAGTCTCTGCCCAAAAGCTCCTAGATCAGACAAACAAATTCAGCAATGTTTCAGGATACAAAATCAATGTAGAAAAATTAGTAGCATTCCTGTACATCAACAACATCCAAGCTGAGAGCCAAATAAAGAATGCAATCCCATTCACAATAGCCACAAAAACAATAAAATACCTAGGAACACAGCTAACGAGGGAGGTAAAAGATCTCTACAATGAAAATGACAAAACACTGCTCAAAGAAATTACAGATGACACAAGCAAATGGAAAAACATTCTATGCTCATGGATACCAAGAATCAATATTGTTAAAATGGCCATACTGACAAAAGCAATTCACAGATTCAAGCTATTCCTATCAAACTACCAATGACATTCTTCATAGAATTAGAAAAAGTATTTAACATTCCTATGGAACCATAAAAGAGCCCAAATAGACAAAGCAATCCTAAGCAAAAAGAACAAAGCTGGGGCATCACATTACCTGACTTCAAACTATACTACAAAGGCTACAGTAACAAAAACAGATGATACTGGTACAAAAACAGACACAGACCAACGGAACAGAATGGAGAGCTCAGAAATAAACTGTACACCTACAACGACCAGATCTTTAATAAGTCAATGAAAACAAGCAATGGGGAAAAGACTTCCTATTCAATAAATGGTGCTGGAATAACTGGCTAGCCATATGCAGAAGATTCAAACTGGGCACCTTATTTACACCATATACAAAAGTCAACTCAAGATAAATTAAAGACTTAAATGTAAAACCTAAAACTATAGAAACCCTAAAAGATAACCTAGGAAATACCATCTGGCCATAGGCCCTGGGAAAGATTTCAGGATGAAGACACCAAACACAATTGCAACAAAAATAAAAATTGACAGATAGGACCTAATTAAACTAAAGAGCTTCTGCACAGCAAAAGAAACTATCAACAGAGTAAACAGAAAACCTACAGAATGGGAGAAAATATTTGCAAACTATGCATCCAACAAAGGTCTAATATCCAGAAGCTACAAGGAACTTAAACTAACAAGTAAAAAACAAGCAACCCCATTAAAAAGTGGGCAAAAGACATGAACAGGCACTTTTCAAAAGAAACATGCACACAGCCAACAAGAATATGAAAAATGTTCAATATCACTAATCGTTAGGGAAATGCAAATCAAAGCCATAACAAGATACCATCTCACACCAGTCAGATGAGCTATTTTAAAAAGTCAAAAAATAAAAGATGCTGGCAAGATTGCAGGAAAAAAAGAATGCTTATACACTGCTGGTGGGAATGTAAATTAGGTCAGCCATTTTGGAAAGCAGTTTGGTGATTTCTCAAAGAACTTAAAACAGAAAATACCATTTGACCCAGCAATCTCATTTTGGGGTATATACCCAAAAGAATGTAAATCATTCTACTATAAAGACCCACGCACATCTATGTTCACCACAGCACTATTCACAATAGCAAAGACATGGAATCAATCTGAATGCCCATCAATGGCAGACTGGATAAAGAAATGTGGCACATATACAACATGGAATACTATGCAGACATGAAAAAGAATGAGATTATGTCCTTTGTAGCAACATGGATAGAGCTGGAGGTCCTAAGTGAACTAATGCAGGAACAGAAAATCAAATACAGCAGGTTCACACTTAGCTGGGAGCTAAACATTGACTATATACAGACACACAAAAGGAAACAACAGATACTGTGGCCTACTTGAAGGCGGAGGGTGGGAGAAGGGTGAGAATCTAAAAACTACCTATCAGGTACTATGCTTATTACCTGAGCAACAAAATGATCTGTACACCAAACCCCTATGACATGCAATTTACCTGTATAACAAACTTACACATGTAACCATGAAACTAAATCAAAGTTAAAAAGAAGGACCACTTAGGCTTTCTGAAAAAAAAAAGAGAAAATATTAATTTTTAAGAAAAATATCAACAGAACAGAATTGTACAAAGAAAAAAGAAAAAAACAGTCACTATTTCCATCCCATCCTTTGCCACTCTTACTCTTAAGTTTTGTCTGTGTTATTTCACACATTTTATGCATGCACATAAATATATAATATACTTTTTTACTCAAATGGGATCGGGCCATATCACTTTACAACTTGCTTTATTCATTTAACAATAATTATATTATGAAAATATTTTATGTTAGTAAATGCACATTTACCTTATTTATAAATATTGTATCATGAAAATTTACAAAAATACATGGAAGTAGAGGAATTATAGTATAATGAACCAAAATTGTGAACTCAAATTTGATAACTATGAATATATACATAGTCAATCCTGGTTCATCTGTATTGTCACTCATTCTTCCTCCTCTGGAATATTTGGAAGCAAACCCAGGCATCACCTCATTTCATCTGCAAACATATCAGTAGGTATCTCTAAAAAAGGGGTTGGCAAAGAGTCAGATAAGGTCTCTGTTACAACTACTCAAATCTACCATTGTAGTGCAAAAGCAGCTATAGACAACATGTCAACAAATGGGCAGGGCTGTTCCAATCAAACTTTATATAACAGGCTGTGGGCTGGATTTGACTCACAGGCCATAGTTTGCCAACCTCTGCTCTAAAAGGTAAGAATTTTTAAAAAATACACAATCACAATATAATCACATCTAAAAATGCTAATAATTCCCTAATATTATCAAATCTAGTTAGTGTTTACTTTTCCCTGGTTGTATTATAATTTTGTTTAAAGCTTATTTAAATCAGAATCAAAATAAGATCCACATATTTCAATTATTTATTATATCTCCTAAATCGCTTTTAACTTACAGTTTATGCTCCATCTCTTTTTTCCTTTAAATTGTTTGTTGTTGTTGTTGAAGAAACATCTCATTTGTTTGAAACTGTAAAGTCTGGAACTTTAAAACTGTGAAGTTTGAAACTTTGAAAGTGTGAAGTTTGAAACATTTGTGGAAACTGAAGCTTTCCACAGTCTGGGTTTTGTTGGTTATATCTCTATGGTATTATTTAAAATGTTTCTCTGTCCCTTGTATTTCTTGTAAATCAGCAATAATGTCTAGAGATCTGATCAAATTTGGATTCATTGTTTTCTTTTTTGGCAGGATGACTTTATCAAGTGGTACATGATGTCTTATGGTCTCTCTCCCTGTGATATTCTCAGTCACTGAGGGTCATTGCTTAATGATATCCCAAGTTTGCTATTTTGCCTTCATTTATCAGTTAAATTTATTTAAAGAGAAATGTTCTTTTTTTCTACGATTTGGTTACTCTGAAGTACAGATCATATGGAAAAACCAGAATAGATTTCTGACTTTTTCCTTTACTTGTTTTCAAAATAATGAGATGGTTCGCTGAAACCCTCCAAGATGACTAAACAAGGTGGGTGGGGTTTTTTTGTGTAATTATGAACCTACAGATTTAAACGTTATTATCTTTATTGATGCTGAAGTTGTCTCATCTTTGGTCAATGAGAATTTATTCAGATTAGCTCTTCAGTTCTTTTGACATAATTCTAGTAATATTTAATAGCTTCTTTCCTTTTTGGTTTGACAAAAGTTCCATGCTCATTTGTGCCCCAAACCTGGAACCGACCATTTCCCTAAAGAGCTCTGATCCCTTTTAGTGGTAAGTAGTATTTAGATAGAACAAAATCTAGAAGGTAAAGGATTGTTCACTGCTATTGGGTTGGTCACTGTTTCTGGGCATTTTTGGTGGACAAAGCTAAGACATATGTTTTGTTGAAAAAAAAATGTATCGTGAGTTCATATTGATATCTCTCATTTAAATTCCAGAATACAGAGTTTTTATAGAACCTCACTAAATTTTTTCCTTCCTTTCAAGGATACAAAAAAATCTGATTTCTCATCAACACCATATAACTACTTTTCTTACTATAACACACACAACAGTCTCCAAATAACAATATCAATTCTATCATCAACAATATGATTACTAAGATGGTTTCACATTTTAGAATTGTGTGTGGGTTTTTTGTATTTGTTTCTGTTTTTGTTTTGTTTGTGTCTTCTGCATCTATCCCCATGAGGGATATACAGTCAAATTATTGTTTTAAAGTCATTTGAAATACTTGCTTTTGGAAACTATGTCTCATCTAAAAACAGGTTCATTTGTTTCACTTTCTTTTCCATTTCTATAATTGCTTTTTTCATTTATTTAACTTCATTTTAGAATTTTTCATAACATTTACATGATAACAAAATTAAATATACAAAATAACATATATTTGAAATAGACAAATTTCTATTTGTTTCCTCTACCCCATGGTCCCCCTGTTTTATAGATAACCATTCTTCCATCTTTTTTTAAATATAAGAAAATGTGTATTTTCTTATTCTCCTTTTCTTGGTTGAATAACCTTCTGTGTGTGTCTTCTTGTATTTTTGTCACTGTATATTTGAAATCAATTCCCAAAATAGGGATTAATGAATTAAAGGGAAAATGTCTATGTAACGTTTGCTAAGTGTTGCCAGCTTCTCTTATAAGGATTGTGCTTTTTTGCATTCCTGCCAGTAATACATGAGAAAGCCTACTTCCAAACATAGGAAGTTTTCAAGCTTTTAGGATTTTTTTTTTCAAATCTGATAGGTGAGAAATGATACCTTAGTAGGGTTTTCAAATTCACTTGTCTAGCAAATGCTCTCAAGGTGAAACCTGGCCTCAGCACCTCATCTACCTCTTTAGCTCTTACTTTCTTTATTAGGCATCCCTCACCCTTACCTTCTCCACAGGTTGATTGTACATTTTAAAAGCTGTGTTTTATGCATCACTGATGATATTTTACAATGTAACATAAAAGTAATGTTTTAGAGTTGAAGTCAAGGTAGACAGTCTGCCATATTTTAAAAACAAAAGATTTCTCTGTCTACAGATTCATGGATTACTATAGTGTTTTTTAAAATGTGGTTCTGTACTATCTCTATCAGTATCCCTAGGAATGATTATTAAAGTATAGGGCTTTTGAGAGGCTGAAGTGAGAGGATTGCTTGAGGACAGGAGTTTGAGAATAGCCTAGGTGACATAGCAAGATCTCACCTCTAAAGAAAACAAAATTTTTTAATTAGCTGGGCATGGTGGCACACACATGTAGTCCCAGCTACTTGTAGGATAGCTTGAGTCCAGGAGTTCAAGGATGCAGTGAACTATGATCATACCACTACACACCAGCCTGGGTGACAGAATGAGACCTTGTTTCTAAAGATAAAAATAAATAAATAAGTACAGGGATTTAACCCTCATTTACACCTATTGAATCAAAGGTTCCTAGAGGATGGAGCCTAAGAATCTTCCCTTCTAACAAGCAACCTAGACTATTTTGATGCCCACTCATGTATGAGAATTACTCCAGGAGGCCTTCCATAAAAGCGGAATTAATTCTCACCTAACCTCATTGGAGTATTGTGAAAATTAACTGATTAAAGTTTATAAAGTTGTTTAAAGAATGCTAACAAGTACGATTCTAGGGGGGTATCAGTAAAATGTCATTAAAGTACACTAGAAACTTACTAAACCTCTTAAATGGACTTGATCGAAGAAATTAGTCAATAAATTACAAGGTAGCAGAAACTGAGCTTTAACGTATGCAGCAATGCATTCCCCATGGAGTGTTGAACATAAATCGATCCATCATTGCTTGCCCAGTGACACAGCAAAAAGTTTGGCAATCTTTGGGGGAGAAAAAACACTAGACTTTCCTCAGGTAATTATGTATAGAAACAATATAGACCTCTTCAATTGAGGCAGAAATTCCTTAGTGTTTTTCTTCTATTGATGTTTGATTAAATTTTGTATATTCTCCCTTTTTCACATTTTTTTGAACATATATATCATACCAAGAGCTCTGATATGGTTTGGCTGTGTCTGTACCCAAATCTCATCTTGAATTGTAGCTCCCATAATTCCCATGCATAGTGGGAGGGACCTGGTGGGAGGTAACTGAATCAGGGAGGCAGCTTTTTCCCATGCTGTTCTCATGATAGTGAGTAAGTCTCACAAGATCTGATGGTTTTATAAAGGGGGAGGTTCCCCTGCACACACTCTTTTTGCCTGCTGCCATGTAAGACATGACTTTGCTCCACCTTCACCTTCTGCCATGATTGTGAGGCCTCCCAAGCCATGTGGAACTGTGAGTCACAAGCTCTAAACTAAAAGTGGCCAGATGACCACTTCCTGATATTTCCTGCCTCCTCAGGTGAATAACTGATCCTGCCATGATATTTTCAGGAATGTTGGGAGGCTGATGTCACTCCCTTGTGCCTCCATTTCTCCCAAAGAACAGGCAATCAATCTTGCTTAGAAAGGTCAGGACAGGAACATACTTTAATTTCTAAGGGAAGGCCAGAGACTCCACTTCCACCTAATTTCACCTCTCCTCCCAATAAGAAGTGCTGATATGGAGCAAGGGCCAGCAACAGAATAAATTGCTGAGGGTGGACAGACTTTCTCAGGAGAAACCAAAGGGTAAATATTTTGCTTCTTCAGAAAAGGGCACTCTTTTGGGAATACCATTTTTTTGGTAATCCTGGATGCCTTTTCTGCTTTAGGTATCTTCTTTCTCTTCCCATTAATGGAACATAGGTCATAAAGTAGGCCCAGAATGTCTTCCTGCCAGGAAAGAAGTATCTCCTCACTTTCTTTTTCTCTGTTGATCTTCTGCCTGGTTGTTCTATCCATTATTGAAAGTAGGATATTGAAGTCTCCAACTATTATTGTCAAATTGTCTATTTCTCCTTTCATTTTGATCAATTTTTCTTCATGTATTTCAAGGCCCTCTTATTAGGTGCATACATGTCTATAATTGCCATAACTTCCTTATGGATTGATCCTCTTATCATTATGAAATGTCCTTCTTTGCCTTTAGTAACAATTTTTGACCTAGTCTATTTTCTCTGATATTAGTATGGCTGTTCCACCTCTCTTTTGGGTATTATCTGTATGTTATGTCTTTTTTCATCTTTTTATTTCAATCTATTATTTGTGTCATTGACTCTAAAATGTATCTCTTATAGACAGCTTATAGTAGGATCACTTTTAAAATTTTTATTTATTAAGACAGGATCTCACTCTGTCACTCAAGCTGGATCCAGTGCAGTGGCATAATTATGGTTCACTGCAGCTTTGACCTCCTAAGCTAAGGCACCATGCTCAGCTAATTTTTTGTAGAGATGGGGTCTCACTATGTTGCTCAGGTTGGTCTCAAACTCCTGGGCTCAAGCAATCATCCCATCTTGGCCTACCAAAGTACTGGGATTACAGGCATGAGCCACCATGCCTGGTCACTTTTGGTTTTTTAATCCATGCTGGCAATCTCTGTCTTTTGATTGGAATATTTCATCCATTTACATTTAATGTAGTTACAGGTTGAGCATCCCAAATACAAAAATCCAAGTCTGAAATGCTCCAAAATCCAAAACATTTTGGCTGCTAACATGATGCTCTTCAATGAAAATGCCTATTGGAGCATTTCAGCTTCCAGATTTTCAGATTTGGGATGCTTGACCAGTAAGTATAATGCAAATATTCCAAAATCTGAAAAAATCCCAAATCCAAAACATTTCTGGTCCCAAGCATTTTAGATAAGAAATACTCAACTTGTGCCAATAAGGCAGAACCTACATCCACAATTTTGCTATTTGTTTTTGCTATATTTTATGTCTTTTTTGTTCTTCTATTTCTCCATTACTACCTTATTTTGAGTTAGATATTTTCTAACATACCTTTCTAATTCCCTTGTCGTGTCTTTAACCATATTTTAAGTCACTTTCTTAGTGGTTTTCCTGGGAATTACAATTAACTTTTTAACTCAAAACAATAGAATTCAGATTAAAAACAGATTAATTTTAATACAAATTTAAAATTAGCTTAATCCAAAAGAACAAAGCTGGTGGCATCCTGCTACCTGACCTCAAACTATACTACAAGGCTACAGTAACCAAAACAGCATGGTACTGGTACCAAAACAAAGATATAGACCAATGGAACAGAACAGAGCCCTCAGAAATAATGCCACATATCTACAACTATCTGATCTTTGACAAACCTGACAAAAACAAGAAATGGGGAAAGGATTCCCTATTTAATAAATGGTGCTGGGAAAACTGGCTAGCCATATGTAGAAAGCTGAAACTGGATCCCTACCTTACACCTTATACTAAAATTAATTCAAGATGGATTAAAGATTTAAATGTTAGACCTAAAACCATAAAAACCCTAGAAGAAAACCTAGGCAATACCATTCAGGACATAGGCATGGGCAAGGACTTCTTTCTAAAACACCAAAGCAATGGCAACAAAAGCCAAAATTGACAAATGGGATCTAATTAAACTAAAGAGCTTCTGCACATCAAAAGAAACTACCATCAGAGTGAACAGGCAACCTACAGAATGGGAGAAAATTTTTGCAAGCTACTCTTCTGACAAAGGGCTGATATCCATAATCTACAATGAACTCAAACAAATTTACAAGAAAAAAACAAACAACCCCATCAAAAAGTGGGTGAAGGATATGAACAGACACTTCTCAAAATAAGACATTTATGGAGCCAAAAGACACATGAAAAAATGCTCATCATCACTGGCCATCAGAGAAATGCAAATCAAAACCACAATGAGATACCATCTCACACCAGTTAGAATGGCGATCATTAAAAAGTCAGGAAATAACAGGTGCTGGAGAGGATGTGGAGAAATAGGAACACTTTTACACTGTTGGTGGGACTGTAAACTAGTTCAACCATTGTGGAAGTCAGTGTGGTGATTCCTCAGGGATCTAGAACTAGAAATACCATTTGACCCAGCCATCCCATTACTGGGTATATACCCAAAGGATTATAAATCATGCTGCTATAAAGACACATGCACATGTATGTTTCTTGTGGCACTATTCACAATAGCAAAGACTTGGAACCAACCCAAATGTCCAACAATGATAGACTGGATTAAGAAAATGTGGCACATATACACCATGGAATACTATGCAGCCATAACAGATGATGAGTTCATGTCCTTTGTAGGGACATGGATGAAGCTGGAAACCATCATTCTCAGCAAACTATCGTAAGGACAAAAAACCAAACACCACGTGTTCTCACTCATAGGTGGGAATTGAACATTGAGATCACATGGACACAGGAAGGGGAACATCACACTCTGGGGCCTGTTGTGGGGTGGGGGGAGGGGGGAGGGATAGCATTAGGAGATATACCTAATGTTAAATGACGAGTTAATGGGTGCAGCACACCAACATGGCACATATATATATATATGTAACAAACCTGCACATTGTGCACATGTACCCTAAAACTTAAAGTATAATAAAACAAAATAAAACAAAACAAAACAAAACAAAAGCTGGCCTTTAGTAAATGGCAAAATCAGTGTTGTTTATTCAGAAATGTTAATACAAATAAAGTGAATAAGTATTTGGGAAAAAAATAAATAAAATTAGTTTAATTATATAAGAATTTTGCTCCAATATAGCTTTGTGCCCCATCCTTTGTACTATTATTGTAATACAAATTACACCTTTATAGATTATAAGCCCATTAACACAGTTTTATAATTATTATTTTATGCTGTTGTCTTTTAAATCAGATAGGAGAAAAGACTTACAAATAAAATGTATTCAAATCGTCATATTTACCTATGTAGTTACTATTATTTCTTTATCTCTTCATGTGTATTCAAGTTATTGTCAAGTGTCTTTTCATTTCAGCCTGAAGGACTCCCTTTAGTGTTTCTTAAATGTCTTACTTAAATGTCTTAATTTCTCCTTTGTTTTTTGAAGGATAGTTTTCTTGGAGATAGAATTCTTGGTAACTAGTTTGGTGGGAGATAGTCTTTTTCTTTAGGCACTTTGAATATGTCATACTACCACCTTCTGGCCTCATGTTTTCTAATAAGAATTCATCTGTTAATCTTACTGGGGATGGCTTGTATGGAATGAATTGCTTCTCTTTTGCTTCTTTCAAAATTCTCTCTTTGTCTTGTCTTTCAACAGTTTGACAATGATGTGTCTAGATATGACTCTCTTAAGTTTTTCTACTTGGAGTTCATTGAACTTCTCAGATGTACAGATCAATTAATTTTTTTCATCAAATTTGAGATGGCTTTGGCCATTATTTCTTCAAATATTCTTTTTCCTCTTTCTCTCATTATGTATATGTTAGTATGTTTGACAGTATCTCATAGGTACTTACTCATTTTTTTTCATCCTTGATTCTTTATGTTCCTTAGACAGGATTATTTCAATTGGTCTGTCTTCAAGTTTGCTAGTTTTTCTTCCAATTACGATCTTCTGTTGAGCCCCTTTAGTGAGTTTTTCATTTCAACCTTTTTATTTATTTATTTATTTATTTATTTATTTATTTTTGAGACAGAGTCTCCCTCTGTCACCCAGGCTGGAGTGCAGTGGCGCAATCTTGGCTCACTGCAACCTCCACCTCCTGGGTTCAAGTGATTCTCTGCCTCAACCTCCTGAGTAGCAGGGATTATAGGTACGCACCACTGCACCTGGCTAATTTTTATATTTTTTAGTAGAAACCGGGTTTTGTCATGTTGGCCAGTCTGGTCTTGAACTCCTGACCTCAGGTGATCCACCCACCTCAGCCTCCCAAAGTGCTAGGATTACAGGCATGAGCCACCATGCCTGGCCTCAACCTTTTTACCTTTCAACTCAAGAATTTCTATTTGCTTCTTTTAAAAAATAATTCTAAGTTTTCATAGATATTCTGTATCTGGCAAAACATCATTCTCATTATTTCCTTTAATTTTTAGACATAATTTTCTTTAGTTCTTTGAATATATTTATTCATAATAGCTCATTTAAGATCCTTTTCCTAGTAAATCAAATATTTGGACTTCCCCAGGGATAGTTTATATTGACTGCTTATTTTTCTTATGTATGGCTATACTTTCCTGTCTCTTTGCATGTCTTGTAATTTTTTATTGAAAACTAGGCATTTAAAATAATATAATATGGCAACTCTTTTTGGCAGAATCTGTGGAAATCAGATTCCCTCAACTCCCTATAGTTTGTTGTTTTATCTTTGCTGTTGTTGTTCCTGCTCTTTGTTTAGTGATCTGCCTGGACTCAACCTGTAAGATCTGTGTTCTTTGTTATGTGCAGTCATTGAAGTCTCTGCTTGATTAACTTTGTGGTCAGCTAATGACTGGACAGAGATTTGTTTAAATGTCTTGAGCCCATACATCTCCTAATCTTTGTCAAGTGACTGTGTGTGAGTATTGAGGTATGCCATCAATGGTACTGGCAGGCAGTTTACAACCTCCCTTAGTCTTTAATTACTTCTTGGGTAGAGCCTGAAGGCCAGAAAGATGGGAGAAATTAGGGCCTTCTCAGTTCTTTCCTAGGAATGCACATTGTCCTGCACATATGTGTGGACTTGTAGATTCCCAGGATTGTGTTGGAGATTTTCAAATCCCCTTATAGAGATCTCATTCCCAAGTTTTTCCTTTTAAGTTTTTTGATCAATCTCTTATTATCCCCAACTGGAAATGCTACTTCAGGCAGCTGGAATGTTAAACGATTGCTGCTCATAATGTTTGGCAAATGTCTTGGGGATAGGGCTGCTTGCACTGAGTTCTGAATCTGATTAAATAAAGACAAGTCCTGAGAATGGAGCTTCTTAATAAGCTTCCAGACTACTTAAACAGTGGCAATTATCTTGGGACGAGGCTTCTGGGGAGCTTCAAACTCATTCTTCCCCCTCCAGCGGCTGTTGGGCTACTACTGTAGTTGCAGGCTACTTATTTTTAAGATTATTGTGAAGCTGGAGGGAGGGGAATAAAATGAGGACAAGTTAAAATGCCATAACACATATTGTTCTTACTGATGTTCAGCTGTTTTTCTTGAATAAATATTTATTGGATTTCTGAAAGCTTTTGATTTCCAGAGTTCTGAAACACCAATTTTGGTAAATTTTGTCAGTATTCTAGTTACTTTTATGGAGAAGCAGAATTTGGGAGGTCTCTTTCAGAAGTGCTTCCTCTCCTCCCATCATCTTTAGAAAGCCATGTGAAAACAAAAGAAAAAAAACTTAAAGCCAGAAATCTGGTTCTTAATCTAGAGTGGTTGAAGGAGTTTTCACAACTCAGTTCTCTAAGTCAGGAAACAAGACAGGGATTTGGGACTAAAAGGTAGATCTGGTCTGAACTCTTCTCTAAAGAAAGCCTTAGGAATCTATTGAGATAATGGGTAGCATTCTGGGGTTTGGGACCCTGGGCTTACTAATCACAACTAGCAGTTTGGATACCTTTGCCCTACACCAAGGATTTTGTCACTCATGGAACATTCTGTCTTTCAAATTCTTTTTACATGCGAGTAGATCTTAGCTTATTTTCCCAACAACAAATCCACTGATCTGTTCATTCATCTTTCTTCCACCCATTCTGTCTTGTTGTTAACTATGCCATCCTTTTCTGTGTCTTAGCTCCTCAACTCAAGTCTTAACAGTACTTTCTAATCCTAAAGGCTATCATATGGGTCTCAATGTTACAGTGAAGGGAAAGAACGTGAGTATAGCAAGTGCATGGAGAAATACCACATAAGTACATCCCTACAATCAGAGATCAAGGACAGATAATGTCACCATTCAAAGTCAGCTTTTTAACTATTATCAGATAAGTAGTAATCTTGGTAATTGCAACATTTTTATGGTAACTGCAACATTTTTATGGTAACTGCCAACTGTTGCATGGAACCTGGAAAAGGGAGAGTTCAGAAGCAAACAGTTTGCCCAGTTTATCTAGCACTTCCCAAAGTGGAGGGAAAAAGACTCTGAATTCAAAAGTGTTAAGAAATTATAGTTACTTCAACAGTAAAATCTACAGTGGCATTGAGAGAGCTTTCCATGGCCTTCCGTAGACTGGATGAAATTACCCAAAAAAACTGCCTTGGCTTTGATTCTCTGCTCAATCTCTCAATTACTCTTTCAGATACCTTGCTAGGAAGTTTTGCACAGGGCATCAGAATGTTTTTGTCCATATAAATGCCTAGTTCTCTGACTCCCATCTCATCCCCACACTCCCTAGTGTAAATCAGTGGTCTGGGTTCTGCTCCAGTCTCCACGGCCTTGGTTGGTGTGATTTACTCTCTCTAGAGGCTGGTCCTGGACCTGCATCATCCCTAGGATGCCTCAGCTGAACTAGCCTACCAACTTATTTCTTTGCTTTCAGTTATAACATTAGGGAAATCCAAGATCACAACCACAAAGATTAAGAAAAAAATGCACTATGAGAAAGTAGTGCAGCTATTTTGGAAACAGTGCAAATAAAAATGTCAGCAACCTTATTTGCAAATAACCAGGTCAATTCAAAAGGGCTGTTGATGTGGGTAATTACAAGCCTCAACCATCCATCACCTGGATCTGAGATACACATGCACTCCTGCAAGGGGAAGCCTCTCATTTCACCTACAGTGCTGCAGTTTTTCTCATTTAAAAATGCATCCCCTCACCCTGCCAAATGTAAACCACACTCATTTATATTAGTGAGGATTTTCCATGCCTCTGCGTTTCTTACTGGCGTCTCTCAAGACTGATCCTCACATTAGCTAGGCTGTGATATGCTTCCAAGCAAAAGGACCATCTCTGCAAAAACAGATGTCAACCTCCCCAGGCACAGTGTGCCCTCTCCCTGTGATATGCTCTCTAAATTTGCATTTGTGCTGTCAGTCAGGGAATTGCACAGAATGACAATTGATGCCACCAGTAAAGGAAGTTAGGATGGGAGTAAAGGATGGGGAAAAAGGATAGAATCATTAATGAATGGCTCCAGAGTGGGGAATGGGCTCTCAGCTCACATAAGCTTTTGAACTCTAGTAGGGTTAATTGTTTCTATGCCAGCCCCACAATAGCTTTCATCTCAGGAGATGGAAGTGAATTAGCCTTAATTAGCCAACCTGACCTAATCTCATAGTCAGCTACATATAGGACATCACCCAGTTTGTTCTCAGTTCTTCCAGAATGAATTAAAACACACACACACACAGACACACACACAGACACACACACACACACACACACACACACACTGAACTCAGGAAAGTGGATAGTTATCCCCTCATGGAAGGGTGAGGGAGGAAGTGCCGGTGTTGTCACTGTAATGCATCTGAACCGAGCCTTGCTTGAGGCAGGCCTGTATGTGGGTGCTGGTGGGTAGCCCCTTAGGTTTTTTGCTGAGAGACAGCCTCGTGATGGAGGTTGTGTGCAGGAGGTTGCTCTGAAGAACAGCACCTAGAAGGGAGAAAGGGAGGGAACAGAAGGGGAAACTGAGCTGTCATGCAGTTGCAACAAATGCCTCATTCGACCTCACAGTGGCTCTGCAACTGAGATAGCCCACAAAGCTGTCCTAGAATGAGGCCGGGGCTGGGCCTTTGTATCCAGCACAGGCCAGCCATTGAATGAGGCTGTCCCCAAGGAAGGGGCATAACCAGGTACCTCGGCACTTCCTTCAACCAAATTCTCAGAGAGGGATTCAGGTGGGGTCTCTCAGCAGCCTGCTGGCCTTGACCTAAAGGCAGAACTGGAGGGCACTGTGGCTTCTGCCCTATAGCTGCTGGCCCTTTAAGTAGCCTGGAGTGCAGGTGGATAACTACCTCACCACCTTACCACCTGCCAGCGTTCTGACCAGAGCAGAGTTTAGAAAGGGTTCCTATAACCAGCAAAAGGGTCTGGATGCTTGCCTCTTGTGGAAAGAAGTCAAAAGAATAATGGGTTATGACCAAAGGGGTGAGATTTTTCTATTATCCATGCTAAGAAGGAGAAGAGTAGAAAGCAATTTCACTCGTCCATTTGTGGAGGGAACACAGGGGTTGTTAAAGAAGGGGTTTGGAATGTAGAAGAGGGAAGAGGGGTACGAGGAGGTGCCAGGTGGCGTGACTTGCTCCAGTGGCTCATCTTGAGTTACTGTTCCATTTGGTGAAGGGGTGCCCCCGTAGATCCTGCCAGGTTATAAATTAATCACAGTCAATCTTGTAGTCAGTCTTCAGCTGGGAGCGGGTTCTGGCCTTGAAGTAATCTTTTGTTGGAGAGAGAATTCTGGAGGTGTCCGGTCCCCATCAGGATCTGACTCCTGAGGCTTCTAAGGAAATACATGACCAGACAAGAGAGCATGGTGTGTGCTTACAAGCATCTAGGTGGCACACGTCTGTGATTCCAGCTACTTGGGAGGCTGAGACACGAGAATCCCTTGAACCCAGTAGGTGGAGGTTGCAGTGAGCCAAGATTGCACCACTGCACTCCATCCTGGGTGAAGAGCAAGACTCCGTCTCAAAAAACAAACAAACAAACAAAAAACATTATTTGGCCAGTCACAGTGGCTCACGCCTATACTCTCAGCACTTTGGGAGGCCAAGGTGGAAGAATTGCTTGAGGTCAGGAGTTTAAGACCAGCAACATAGTGAGACCCTATCTCTACAAAATAATAATACTTTTTAAAGTACACCGTGTGCACCTGTGGTCCTAGCTGCTCAAGAGGATCACTTGAGCCCAGGAGTTCGAGGCTGCAGTGAGTCATGATAGCACCACTGCACTCCAGCCTGAGAGAATAAAACCATGTATTCAAAAAAAAAAAAGTTATTTTGTAAAGAATTGGGAAGGACTCATTTGCAAATGTGAGTTTTCCTGTGCTGTGGCTTACTTTAAATCCATCTCAAGCTACCAGTAGAGAAGGACCACCCGAGGGGTTTCTAGGCCCACGTTTGGCCTAGAAAGTCCAAGTTAATTGAAAACGAAGCAGTTGAAGTTCATTCCCAATTTGCTGCCCTGCTAGGATCAGAAGGAGGGGTTTTATGATGTTCCAGCTGGTTTTGGATGACACAGATCCCTGCTGTCCTTGTGGGGCAAGGCAGGCTGCCCTGGGTGGACCCCTGTGGTTTAGGGAGGGAAGCAGGAAGCAAAGGAGGAAGAAGAAGTGCCACAGGAGTTTGGGTAAAGTTCCTGCTACAGCACACAGTGAATTATCCACTTACAGTGTCCACGGAGTTAGGCAGCAGCAGAAACTTTGCCGGACAGAGTCTGCGTGTCACCTTCAATCTCCTCATTCGTTTACACAGTTCTATCCAATCGATGCCTCTGTTCCCAACCCCTTTCCCCTCCTCCGTCTGGTCACCTGGGGTTTCATCCTGAGTGCCATCGCCCGGACCCCTCCAAGGGCACTGAGTACACAGTAGCCGCATGATAGACATTGATAGATGGTCTTTTGGTCCCACAGGCTCTCCAGGTTGGCCCCAGAAGAGACCACAGGATCTCATCATCTTCCCTGTTTATATTGTCTGTGGCCAACCTGTATTTGTTCCTCAGATGGAGCTGATGTTTACATAACTTTTCCTCCAAAACACAAAACAACAACCCCCATACTGTGCAAATGACTTACATGCCACAGTCATGATTTATAACCAACCTAAGTTGTGGCCACATCTCAGGAACATGGGAAAGGATGGGTGGGAAGGAAGCAAATGGAAAAGGTTCCTCAGGACCAAGGAATCCTATTTTTCTAATATGATGGGATGCTCCAAATATGGGTAGGCTGCCTGTCCCATATCCAGGACTTGCTGAGGGCAAGAAGAGCAGGGTTTCTGAGGAGTTCATCTCTAGGCCTCAATCCTTCGCCTAGATCAGGCTGTTGCTCTAGGATTTTCCCATTGCTGGGGGTGGCAGGGAAGGTGTATGCAGGTGGCTTTGGCATTGGCTTTTTTCTTTGAAAACAAGTTATCAGTCAATGTAACAAGGATGGGGATGGCCGATCTTTTTTTTTTTTTCTTTTTTTTTTTTGCAATGGAGTTTCATTCTTGTCGCCCAGGCTGGAGTGCAATGGCGCGATCTCAGCTCACTGCAACCTCCGCCTCCTGGATTCAAGTGATTCTCCTGTGGGCTGAGTTTTTTTTTTTTAACCAATTGAGGGACTGGAGAAATGAAGTGTGATGAATCATTACCCACAATATTTCTTTTGCAGGTTTTCTCATGTAAGAGGAAAGATACATATGCCCATGCATGTACATATACATACATACACGCATTCACGTATGCACACACACACACTTTATGTAAAAGTATTGTGATCAGAAAACACACCCGATTTCCTGGGGAAAAAGCTAGACCAAAAGACCTGAGACCAGGGCACACAGCTGGCAACGCCTGCAGCCCTGGAGTCTCACTCTGTCATTTCTATTAAGTTGCAGTGCTGCCTTCAACAAGTCAATTAACCTTCCTTCCTTCCACTCCCTAACCTTCTAAGCAGAAAAGAACAACATGGACCCAGCTCAGAGGGGTGTCAGGAGATTAACCTACATCTTCAAAGGGCTCGTGATCATTAGAGTGCTGCATAAAGGATGGATATTGTTATTTTTATTAAAAGTTGGATGACTACTCCTCAGCTCTGTCTGCCACCTTCCCCAGGCCTCTCTGGATTCTGCTGAGTGAGGGGGTGAAGCTGTTTCTGGAATGTGTAAAATGGAAATGTCCTGGGCCTCCATGCTCTAAGGTTAAGTGAATGTTCTCTGCAAATAGCACTGGTTTGGTGCAACGTGGAGGCACTTCAACAGTGTGTATTTACTGATAAAATGTTAAAGAACAGGAATGGCATTTGGGTGTGAAATCGAACTTTCAAGGTGGTGGTAGGGTGGTGATGGGGGAAGGAGATAACATTTAGCCAGTGCCAAGTACTGTGAAAACTCCTTATCCAGTGTGAATAGAACTGGCATTTTGGTCTGCTAAAAAGTCAGTCGAAGCAGGGAACTGCACAAAGTGATATACTCATACCTTAAGCATTTTACTTTAACTTAAGACATGGATCTGTACATTTTCTTTGCCAATCTATTGATTAAAGCTCAAAACCCTGCCTTTAAGTACTGGTCCCTGACCAGTGTCCCAAATCATTATTATTGCTAAACCACATCTGCAATCCATCATCTAAGATCTCCAGTTTAAGACTCTTTAAAGTGGAGCAGGAACTTATAGATACGTGTGAGCAATGGAGAGTCTTTCTCGATGTTTGCTGTTTCCCCTACTCCTTTACAGTTGTCTCACATACACGTAATCTGATAGTAATATATTTTAACTGCTTGCCTTTATGGAGACTCTCCAAAGCATTTAAGTTACTGTGTCATAGAAACAACAATGCTCTTTCTTCTGCACTCATATTTCATGGATTTAGGTAATGTTTAATTAAATTACATATTACATATTGTAGTTGCAATTAGTAAAACAGGTTTGATAACAGATGCACCTAATTTTGGAATGCCTTTGTCTTAGCAGGTGAGGGAGGGCATGTAGGAAGGCCACGGGGGCCATGGGCCCGTATCTGGCCTCACTCAGGAAGACAGAGATGGTTAAAATGGCAAGTGGGTTAGGTAGAAATTGGGTAAAGGGGGCTTCTATTTGTTACTTACTCTACCGCATTTAATCC
Organism: Homo sapiens; assembly: GCF_000001405.40. Classification (NCBI taxonomy): domain Eukaryota; kingdom Metazoa; phylum Chordata; class Mammalia; order Primates; family Hominidae; genus Homo; species Homo sapiens. Next base: position 229,725,462 of record NC_000001.11, on the reverse strand, counting down.
TTATGATGAGTTTGCTACTATCATCTCTATTTTACAGATACAGTATTTGAAGTCCAGAGAAACTGGATATCGCACCCAAAGTCACACAGGTAGAGAGCAGCGGACTTGGAATGTCAATCCAGGTCTGTTTGGGCCCATATACAGGCTCGTTGAGGACTACGGTTCTTTTAGGGAGTTATCTCTTCACCTGCAGTCTCGGATTTTTGAAAGAATATAGAAGTTTACGTATTGACTTGGAAATGTGAGCAGGAACCTGGTCCTTCAGCCATGATGATTGCTCCTTCTTCTAAATCAGTGGTTCTCAATGTGTAGCCCCCAATCAGCCGCAGCAGCAGCATCTGGGAACTTGTTGGAAATGCGACTTCTCAGGCCCCATCCCTGATCTATTGAATCAGAGATCTGACTCCAGCAAGCTGTGTTTTGAAAGCCCTCCAGAGATTCCAATATGTGCAGATACATTCTGATACTATATATTATGATACATATTGAGACCCACTGCTCTGTATGTTTTATTCATTCATTCATTCATTGGAAAAATGCCTATTTTCTGCTGTGTGACAGGGGCTAGTGACAAAACGATGAATGCAGAGAGGGCACCTGACTTCCTGGAGCTTACATTGTACAATGTACCCGATTCTCTACCACTGCCCAGGTCCTGATGCTCCAGGCAGGCCCGGCCAGCAGCCTGCTCCACAGACCCCTGAAGCTCCTCTCCCACTGCCAAGCAAGGAACTGCATCTGCTGTTCATGGAGTCATCCAAACAAACTGTATTTTTTACAGTCCTGGTAAGGAGCATCAGCTTCCACTCCTTTGCTTGGATTGTTCCCTTTATTTTTATTTATATTGTGATAAAGTATGCCTAACAAAATTTACCATTTTAACCATTTTTTAATTGAACTCTTCAGTGGCATTAACACATTCACAATGTTATGTAATTATCACCACTATCCAGAAATTTTCATCATAACAAATAGGAACTCCATACTCATTAAATAATAACTCCAGGGTTAGCTGTGGTGGCTCACACCTGTAATGCCAGCACTTTGGGAAGCTGAGGTGGGCAGATCACTTGAGGTCAGCAGTGAGACCAGCCTGGCCAACATGGTGAAACCCTATCTCTACTAAAAATACAAAAACTAGCTGGGTGTGGTGGCGTATGCCCGTATTCCCAGATACTCAGGAGGCTGAGGTAGGAGGATCGCTTGAACCCGGGAGGTGGAGGTTGCAGTGAGCTGAGATAATGCCACTGCACTCCAGCCTGGGCAACGGAGTGAGACTCAATCTGAAAAAATAAAATTAAATTTAAAAAACATAATAAAAAATAATAACTCCCACTCCCTCCTCCCCCCACACCATGGCAATCACCCTTCTACTTTCTGTCTCTATGAATTTGCCTATTGTAGGTACCTCAATAAGTGGAATCATACAATATTTTGTAGGTACCTCAATAAGTGGAATCATACAATATTTGTTCTTTTGTTACTGGCTTATTTCACTTAGCATCATGTCTTTGAGGTTTATCCATGTTGTTGTATGTATCAGAATTTTCTTTCTTTCTATGGCTGAATAATATTCCATTGTATATGTATACTAAACTTGTTTATTTATCTGTTGGTGAACACTTGGGTTATTACCATCTTTGGCTATTGTGAATAATGCTGCTATAACTATTGATGTCCATTTTTAAACTGAATTGTTTTATTTTGGGGTTGTTGTTGAGTTTTATTTGTTCTTTATATATTCTAAGTATTATTCTCTTATCAGATATAAGACTTGCAAATATTTTCCCCCATTCTGTACATTGTCTTGTTACTCTCTTGACAGTATTCTTTGATGCACAGAGTTTTTCAATTTTGATGAACACAACTTATCTATTTTTTATTTTGTTGCCTGTGTTTTCGGTGCTATATCCGAGAAATCATTGTCAAACACAAAGTCATGAGATTTTTCCCTTATGTTTTCTTCTAAGAATTTTAGAGTTTTAGCTGTCAAGTTTAGACTTTTGATCAATTTTGAGTTAATTTTCTTATATGGTGTAAGATGTAAGTCCAAATCATCCTTTTGCATGTGGGTATCTGGTTTTCCCAGCATCATTTGTTGAAAAGACTGTCCTTTCCCCATTGAATGATCTTGAAAATCATGTCAAAAACAATTGACTGTAAACATGAGAGTTTATTTCTGGTATCTCTATTCTATTCTGTTTATCTATATATCTGTCCTTAAGCTAGTACCACACTGTTTTGATTACCATAGCTTTGTAGCAAGTTTTAAAATCAGAAAGTGTGAGACCTGAAACTTCGTTCTTCTTTTTCAATGTTGTTTTGGTTATTGGAAGTCCTTTGAGATTCTACATAAATTTTAGGATGGCTTTTTCTATTTCTCCAAAGAATGCCACTGGAACTTTGATAGGAATTACATTGAATCTGTAGATTCTTTTGGTTTGTATTGTCATATTGACAATATTAAGTTTTCTAATCCATGAACATAGGATGTTGTCTTATTTCATTTGGCTATAACAAAATACCATACACTGGGTAGCTTATAAACAGCAGAAATTTATTTCTCACACTTCTGGAGGCTGCCAAGATCTTATTTAGTGTCTAGTGAGGGCCTGCTTCCTCATAGATGATATTTTCTCCCTGTGTCCTCACATAGTGGAAAGGCAAATGAGCTCCCTTTAACTTTCTTGGTAAGGACACTAATCCCAGTTATGACGGCTCCACCCACATGACCTCATCACCTCCCAAAGGCCCACCTCCTAATACCATCCCCTTGTGGGTTAGGATTCAATGTAGGAATCTGGGGGGCACATAAACATTCAGATCATAAGAGATGTCTTTTCATTAATTTAAATCTTTTAGAATTTCTTTCAGTAATGTTCTGTAGCCATCTTTCAACTGCCTGGCTACTTGTATTCTTAAGTTTTTTATTCTTTTGATGTTATCATAAATTGAATTGATTTTTAAATTTCCTTTTCAGGTTGGTAACTGCTGTTTACAGGAATGAAAGTGATTTTTCAGTGTTGATTTTGTATCCTGCAATTTTGCTGAATTCATTCATTAGTTCTAACAGGTTTTTGTTTTTTGTTTTTTTCTTTTTGAGGACTCTTTAGGGTTTTCTACATTTGAAGTCAAGTTATCTGCAAACAAAGATGATTTTACTTTTCTATTTGCAATTTGGAGGCCTTTGATTTCTTTTTCTTGCCTTCTTCCTCTGGCTAGAACTTCTGGTACATATTCAAGAGAAGTGGTGAAAGTATTCCTCATCTTAGGGGAAAAGCTTTCAGTCTTTCACCATTGGGTATAATGTTAGCTGTGGTTTTTTTCATACATGGCCTTTATTATATTGAGAAAGTTTCTTTCTCTTCCTAGTTTGTTGAGTGTTTTTAGCACAAAAAGGTTTTGAACTTTGTCAAATGCTTTTTCTGCATCAAGATGATCATATGTTCTTTTTGTTCATTTTGTTAATGTGGTATATTACATTGATTGATTTTTATGTGTTAAGCCATACTTGCATTCCAGGAATAAATCCCACTTGGTCATAGTGAATAATTCTCTTAGTATTTGCTGCCGAATTCAGTTTGCTAGTATTTTGTTGAGAATTTTTGTATCAATATTCACAAAATATATTGGTCTGTAGCTGTCTTTTCTCATAGTATCTTTATCTGGCTTTGGTATCAGGGCAATTCCGGCCACAGAATGAGTTAGAAAGTGTTCCATTCTTCAGACTGTTAGTCCAGAATGATGTCTTTTTCTCAATGCAGTGAGCTATAGATTCTCTAGTTTTCTCTCTAGGGATGGGAAGGGGGCATTGAGGCAAGCCTGGAGAGGAGCCTGGGGAGCAGGATCACGAACTTTTTTCTTTAGTGAAGGAGGAATACAAGCAAGAGTTTCGTATTCAGAATGTTGTGCAATATTTTGGAATGGGACACTGGTGTGTTTAGAGATTTTAGTTTAAAAACAAAACAAAAAGATTGATCAAATCTGTACAGTTTCTATTGTTCCAGATTTTTTAAGCTTGTATTAAAAGGATGATATATAATTCAAAAAAGAAAGTATTCCATTCTTCAATTTGTTAGAAGAATTTGAGAAGGGTTTATTGGAGTCTTCCTTGTTTTAAAATTATTTTGTATGCTTCTTTTTCCACCACCAGATTTTAAGGAAGTATCCTTATTTTCCCTTTTCCTCATACAGTCCACCCCATCCCAAGAACCAAACTTTGCACTTTTCACGCAGTAGGTTCTCAATAAATGTAAAAGTAATGAAATTAGTATTAAAGTGTCTGAACTTTGGAAACCCACTTTTGGAAATCTTTGGCTTTCATGTATCCAACTTCCAAATAGCTTGCACTTTCTTAAAGTATACAACTTGAAACTACTTTTGGTAAGTTCAGATGGTCATACTCCACTAATAGGTGAGCATTTTGATCTACAGTTTCAAGTGGCCTTGCCTGGCCAACAACAATGTTTGGGCAGTGGCATCATTTTCATCTGTACAATAATGTAGGTATTTAAACATCTTATTGCATTATTGTCTTATAAAGTAGAAAGAAAAATGAAAGTACCAATAATTGTGATAAAAAAAAAGAATAGGTCTCATAAACTTAACATGGTTGAAATCATGATGCAAAACATTAGGTATGCTGAAAGTGAAAAATTTTAACCATGGTTGGGTGTTCTTTGGAATTAAGCTGGTTGAGAGTGGGTTCAGCTGTGAAAGAAAAGAACAAAATTAAAGAATTTGAAAAGCATGTCATCAAATTTCAAGTCATAAGGCATAAAAAGCAATTTTACAATTTTTTCTAGCTCCTTGAGAATATAACCCTCCCCTCTTATAATGCATAAATGCATTTTAAATTTTCACATATTTGGCCAGGCATGGTGGCTCACACCTGGAATCCCAGCACTTTGAGAGGACAAGGCAGTGAATCACCTGAGGTCAGGAGTTCAAGACCAGCCTGGACAACATGGTGAAACCCTGTCTCTACTAAAAATACACAAATTAGCCAGGTGTGGTGCCACATACCTGTAGTCCCAGCTACTTGGGAGGCTGAGGCAGGAGAATCACTTGAACCCAGGAGGCAGAGGTTGCAGTGAGCCAAGATTGTGCCATTACACCTCAGCCTGGGTGACAGAGTGAGACCCCATCTCAAAAGAGGAAGAAGGAGAAGGAGAAGGAGAAAGAGAAGCAGCACTGGCCAAGATATGGAGAAGTTGGAACACTTGTCCACTGTTGCTGGGAATGTAAGATGATAGCTGCTGTGGAAAACAGGGCCTTGGACAGATATTTGAAACCTACGTTCATAGCAGCAATAGTCACAGTAGCCCAAAGGTGGAAACAACTGAAATGTCCATCAACAGATGAATGGAAAATCAAAATGTGGTATATCCATACAATGAAATATTATTTAGCCCTACAAAGGAATGAAATTCTGACACATGCTTCAACCTGGTTGAACCTTGAGAACATTATGCTAAGTCACAATAAGCCAATCACAAAAGGATGAATACTTTATGATTCCACTTATATGAGGTACCCAGATTATTCAAGCAATAGACAAAAAGTAGAATGATGGTTGACAGGGGACAGGAGGAGGAGGAAAAAGTTAGGAGTTATTGTTTAATGGCTATAAAATTTCAGTTGGGCAAGATGAAAGTGTTCTGGAGATTGGTTGCACAACAACGTGAATGTACTTAACACTACTGAACTGCACAGTTCAAATAGTTAAGATGCTATGTTTTATGTTATATATTTTATCACAGTTTTTAAAATCCTCAGAAATACTGGGCAACATAGTGAGACCCCCATCTCTACAAAAAAACTTTTTAAAAATTAGGCCAGCATGGTGGCTCATGCCTATAGTTCCAGCTGCTCATGAAGGCTGAAGTGGGAGGATCACTTGAGCCCAGGAGGTTAAGGCTGCACTGAGCCATGATTGTGCCACTGCACTCCAGCCTAGGTGACAGAGTGAGATCCTGGCTCAACAAAGGAAAAAAAAAAAAAAGTCCTAAGAGACCAATCACTGTGGAAATGTACTGGAAGATGTAATTTAGAGAAAAAAATTCATAAAATATTACTGAATGTCTTTAAAAAAATAGGTAGGCAGGGTGGGCGTGGTGGCTTGCTCTTGTAATCCCAGCACTTTGGGAGACCGAGGCAGGAGGATCACTTGAGCTCAGGAGTTCAAGATCAGCCTCAGCAATATAATGAGGTCCAGTCCCTACAAGAAACTAAAAAAGTAGGCCAGGCACGGTGGCTCACATCTGTAATCCCAGCCCTTTGGGAGGCCAAGGTGGGAGGATCACTTGAGCCCGGGAGTTCAAGATCAGCCCAGGCAACATAGTCAGACCCCATCTCAATTTATTTTTTAAAAAAATTAGCTGAGCTTAGAGGCACACACCTGTAGTCCCAGCTACTCAGGAGGCTGAGGAAGGAGGATAACTTGAGCCAAGATCACACCACCACAATCCAGCCTGGATGGCAAAGCAAGACCCTGTCTCAAAAAAAATAAAAATAAAAACATATAGGCAAATTTATAATTAATATCAGCACTGGGCAGATGATCAACTTTGTTAACAGAAAAATGCTTGTAGAAGATAGCAGCTTTAAAAATCTGCTAAGGGCAGACACAGCGGCTCACACCTGTATCATGCTACTTTGGGAGGCTTGAGCCCAGGAGTTGGAGACCAGCCTGGGCAACATAGTAAGATTCCATCTTTATAAAAATAAATAAATAAATAAATAAAATAAAAATAAAAATCTACTTTAAAAACATATTGTACTACCAAAAATTAATTAAAACAATAAAATTCCTTGTTGGCAATATTTTGTATAAATAGCTATCCTAGCACATATTACTATTATACTGTTGTGTTTTTTTAACCACAATTCTACTATAAATTGGTACTTTCTTTTCTAGAGAACAATTTGGCAACAGGTAATAAGGTCTTAAAAAATGTTTAGCTCTTCCAACCTGGTTATTCCACTTTGGGGAATTTATTCATTCAATGAATAGTCACTAAGCATTTTCCTTCTATGCACTGGGCACTGTTGTGAGTACTGTGAATACAGTGGTGAAGTCCATATAATCCCCGCCCTGAGAGCTTACAATCCTACGGAGGGAAAGAAACACATTTATTGATGTAGTGAATATATATTTTCCGGGCTCACAATCCAGGTGAGGCAGGAGAATAGGGTCTGGAGACAGGGAACCTAAGGCTGTTTCACGCCAACTTCCTAGAACTAAATTGAAAGGAAAACCCTAACTTTCCACGCCTAAGTGACAAAAAGACCAGAGGCTACTACTCCCTTTACAAACCCCCTACCTTTTCTGCACAGCAGATGGGAAATTGGCTTTCCACAACCTATCAGACTGGTTGCAGGCCAAGTCTTTGTTTCCATAGAAGCATAACTTTGTAACTTCATCCTAGCCTCTCATTGGTTGCCTTTTGTAACCGAGCAGATGTTTGCACAGCAGTGTGACCTTTGTAACTTCACTCCAGCCTCTGGTTGGCTGCTTTCTGCAACCAATCAGACTGATTGTGAGCTACCACTTCATTTACATGAGGTGAGCATGAAATGGCCAATGGGAAACTTCTAGGGGGCATTTGGACCCAAGAAGATTCTGTATCTGGGCCCTTGCCCAGCTGCTCGGGTGTGCTGCCACACTGTGGATTGTACTTTCGTTTTCGATAAATCCCTGCTTTCGTTCTTTTGTTGCTTCATTCTTTCTTTCTTTGAAGAACATTTTGTCCAATTCTTTGTTCAAAACGCCAAGAACCTGGACAACTTGCAGTCACGACCCTCTACCGGTGACACATGCTTCCTCTTTGTGTTAAATGTACTCGAAACCTTCTTTAAGAAACACCCCACCTGTAATCCCAGCACTTTGGGAGGCCGAGGCGGGCAGGTCACGAGGTCAGGAGATGGAGACCATCCTGGCTAACACGGTGAAACCCCGTCTCTACTAAAAATACAAAAACCAAATTAGCCGGGCATGGTGGCGGGCGCCTGTAGTCCCAGCTACTCAGGAGGCTGAGGCAGGAGAATGGCGTGAAACTGGGAGGCGGGGCTTGCAGTGAGCGGAGATGGCGCCACTGCACTCCAGCCTGGGAGACAGAGGGAGACCATCTCAAAAAAAAAAAAAAAAAAGAAAGAAAAGAAAAGAAAAAAAGAAACACCCCTTCCTCATTTTCCACCCTGTGAATGGATGGTCCACTCATCCAGCTACACCTATTTTAAGTCAGTTATTGTATTTCACCCCCTGGCCACTATGATTGGTTCAGAGACGGCACATAACTCATGTGGAGCTAATGAGATGAATAAAGATGTTTGCTCGGGCTTGTGGCAAAGATACATTTTCTTCTGCCGTATTGTATAAAGGTATGAGGCTTGGCGCTGCTGTAGGCATCTCCATTCCCTGGGCTGTGTCAGCCTAAAAATGAAATAACCCCTGGAGAAAGGCAGGGCAAAGACAGCAGGGCAAAGACATTAGAGAAATGGCCAGATGGTGTCCTCTGAGTCTCAGGACTGAAAGGCCTGTAGTCAGCTCCACCCTTGGACTTTCAGTGTGTGAGCCAATACGGCCCGTTTTGTGTATAAGCCAGTATGAACAGCACACTGTCACCTACAACGGAAGGAAAACCAACTTATACACATTTGCTGTCCGGATGGGATATCACAATAGAGTGACAGGCACTGAAGCGGTGAGCCAAAGGGTGGTATAGGAGAGAAGTCTAACCCAGACTTTAGCAGGGGAGCAAAGACTTTCCATTAGTAAATGCCATTTTAGTTGAGAGCTGAGGCATATAACTAAGGAAATAGCTAAGAAGAAAAATAGAGCAATTTATACCAATTATAGCAAGCTTGTTTCTAAAAAAGAATATATTGGAAATAACCTAAATGCTCAACAATAGGTGCATTATTAAGCACCCTATTGCATATAAATATAATGTAATACATACCAATATGGTGACAGCCATGACAAATATGTGCACAGTTTGGATACGTAGTAATACTCAGTCTGGTTTTGTTAAGCATTCTCAGCTCAGTGGGATATTAGCTCGAAATAGTGTAATGTTTTTCCAATCACTGTGCTCTGTTAATTCCCCTCTTTCTTTACCTTAGCAACATTTTTGGCAGAGCTGTGGGTTTCCAGTCACTTCGAATTATTCAAATTCCAGGCTCAGGTCGGATTTCAACCTGAGCTCATCCCTCCTCCACAGCTCCGCAGAGCTCAGGGGCCTGTTAGGAAGGAGGATGTGGGCTGCTCTCACCGGCCGCTCACTGCAGCATCGTGGAAGGAAGGTGTAGCGGGGAGCGGGGGTCTGATTTGAGGATTATTATTCTCTTGAATCTCACTTATTCTCAAGGCCTAATTCCTGTGGTGTTCAAGACCAGAAGAAGAAAAGAGGCAGAGTTCAGGATCCTGCGTTGAGAGTGGCCTCTCTTGCCCCCAGGCCTCCCTGCGGCCTCTGTCTCCTCCATCTTCTGGCTACTTGTATGTGGGGCCACAGGAAATATGTGATCCCCTCCGAACTCTGTGAGTTGCCTCCAGAGCTGGGAGGGGATACTAATAACCACTACCCAAGGCCTTGCTTCCCCCTCCACCTTTAGCTGCTCCTATAAGCTTTTTACTTCCAGAAATTTCCAGAAAATAAAGTGCCTTTTTGTAAATTCACAAGTGCTGCACAACTCCAAGAACTACAGACCAATCTTTTCCAACCATTCTCCAATTGCTGTCTCTCCTGCTGACAGTATCATTATGGGACTGCTGGTTTATAGTAACCCAGCAAGGATCCTGCCTAGAGAGAGGTAGTAGTCTTAGCTTTAGGCAGGTGCCCTCAAGCTCTACAAGGAATTTTCTTATGGGCCCCTTCCAAAGTTTATGTTTTGGGAAACTGACGCAGGACAGGCAAGCCTCCAAACTGGGGCTTGGGCCGGAAGGGTTCTTGGCTTCACCCAGGGAGGAAGTCAAGGGCGAGCCAGTGGTGTTAGACAGCAATCCTTTACTGAACGGTACTGTTCCTTGTAGAGCAGCACTACCTCATAGGCAGCCCAGAGTCAGCAATGCATGGGTTCTTAGCAACTGTGTTGATACTCAATTTCAATTATATGCAAATTAAGGGACAGGTTAATGCAAATTGAGGGGTGGGTTATTTAGAACTTTCTAGGAAAGGAATGGTAACTTCCAGGTCGTTGCCATAGCATTTATAAATGATCATGGTGCTGGTGGGAGTGTCTCATGCTAATGAGCAATGAGGGCAGCTAGGGATCACTTTTGTCGCCACCTGGCGGTTCCTGATGGTTTTTTTACTTTGTCCTGTCTGGACCAGATCCTGTTTGGGTCAGCAGGGTCATGACCAGAAAACAAGTCTTTCTGGTCTCCAACCTCAAAGGCTTGTTGCTATGAGCTTTGGACACTTCCCAAGGCCCGAAGACTTCCAACTTTCATTCTCCCAGTTGTTTCCTCATATGGGTTGGCAGTAAGGCAGGTAGTTGTTGGCATGACGGTAGGGAGGAGCAGGGCTAATTTGATGGTCTTCTACTAGGGAGGTGCTGGCCCCAATGTTTGGCAGCTTTCTCCAGAATATAGGGTACTTAAAGCCTGTTATTTTTATCTGTAGCCCCCAGTGCTAATTACAGGACAACAGTCCTACTAAACATCCAATATCATGTATTGTTTAGGTCTCATATATCTCCATGACTGATTTTCTGTCTATTTGTTCTATCAAGTACTGAGAGAAGAGTAACAGAATCTTCAACTGTAATTATGCATTTGTCTATTTCTCCTTTCAGTTCCTTCAGTTTTGATTTTTTCTGAGGCTTTGTTTTTAGGTGCTTACATATTTCAAATTATGATGTCTTCCTGACCCCTTTATCAATATAAAATATTCCTCTTTATTTCTGGTAATATTTCCTGTTCTGAGATCTAGTTTCCTGATATTAATATAGCCACATCAGCTTTTTTTAATGGGTAGTGTTTGCATAGTATATTTTTTCTCATTCTTTCACTTCTAATCCACCTGTGTTTTCATATTTAATGAGCGTGTCTGTAGACTTCATATAATTGGGTCTCGATTTTTATATCTACTCTGGCAATATCTGACTTTTGATAGTAGTGTTTAGATTCTTTATTATAATTACAAATATGGTTGGAATTGAGTCTACCATGTTGCTATTTGTATTTTATTTATCTTCATATTTTCTTTGTTGCTATTTCACTTCACCTGCCTTCTTTGGATAACTGATTATATTTTTAGGATTCCATTTTATCTCTAATATTGGCTTATTAGCTATTTCTCTGTTTTCTTTATTTTTAAGTGTTGTTCTAAGACTTAACATATGAATTTTTAGCCAGGCAAGCTGTAGTTCCAGCTACTTCAGAGGCTGAGGTGGGAAGATCTCTTGAGCCCAGGAGTTCAAGGCATTAGTGTACAATGATCACACCTGTCAATAGCCACTGCACTCCAAGCCTGGGAAACATAGCTGAGAACATGTCTCTAAAAATGACAAAAATGAAAAAAACAATATTATACTCCTTCAAGTACAATTAAGAAACCTGTAGGCCGGGTGCAGTGGCTCACACCTGTAATCCCAGCACTTTGGGAGGCCGAGGCAGGCGGATCACCTGAGGTCAGGAGTTTGAGACCAGCCTGGCCAACATGGTGAAACCCCATCTCTACTAAAAATTCAAAAATTAGCCAACAAGGTGGCACGTGCCTGTAATCCCAGCTACTTGGGAGGCTGAGGCACAAGAATCGCTTGAACCTGGGAGACGGAGGTTGCAGTGAGGCAAGATCGCGCCACTGCGCTTCAGCCTGGGCGACAGAGCAAGACGCCATCTAAAAAAAAAAAGAAAAGAAACCTGTAACACCATAGTTCCAAAGTATACTTTCTATCTTTATGCTATTGTTTTAATAGATTTTTACTTTTATATATGTTATAAACCCCATAATAGATTGTTACTACAGTCATACATTACATAACAATGTTTTGGTCAGTGATGGACCCCATACAAAACAGTGATCCCATAAGACTATAATTGAGCTGAAAAATTCCTATCACTTAGTAACATTGTAGCACAATACATTATTTACATGTTTTGGTGATGCTGGTATAAACAAATGAACTGTGTTGTCGGTTATATAAAAGTATAGCACATACAATTACACACAATATGTAATACTTGATAGTGATAATAAATGACTATGTTGCTGGTTTATGTATTTACTATACTATACTTTTTATTGTTATTTTAGAGTGTATTCCTTTTGCTTACATTATTAAAAAAAAGTTAATGGTAAGATAGCCTTGGCCAGGTCCTTTGGGAGGTATCAGAAGAAGGCATTGTTATCATAGGAGATGACGGCTCCATGCGTGTTTTTGCCTTGAAGACTTTCCAGTGAGACAAGATGTGGAGGTGGAAGACAGTGACAATCCTGACCTGGTGTAGGCCTGGGCTAATATGTGTGTTTGTGTCTGTTTTTAACAAAAACATTTAAAATGTGTCTAAAAATCTTTAAAAATAGAAAAATGCTTATAAAATAAGGATATAAAGAAAGAATATTTTTGTACAGCTATATGATTGTGTTTTAAACTAAATGCTATTACAAAAGAGCCAAAAAGTTTAAAATTTTTTAAAGCCTATAAAGTAAAAAGATTACAGGAAGCTAGGGTTAATTTATTATTGAAGAAAAAAATATTTATATAAACTTAATGTACCCTGAGTATATAGTGTCTGTAAAGTCTACAGTAGTGTACAGTAATGTCCTCAGCCTTCACATTCATTCACCACTTACTCATTGTCTCACCCAGAGCAACTTCCAGCCCTACAAGCTCCATATAGGGTAAGTGCCCTATACACATGTACCATTTATTATCTTTTATACTTTATTTTTACTGTATCTGTTCTATGTTTAGCTATGTTTAGATACACAAGTACTTACCATTGTGTTATAATTACCAACAGTATTGAGTACAGTATCACTCTGTAGAGGTTTGTAGCCTAGAACATAGGCTATACCATACAGCCTATGTATGTAGTAGGCTTTACCATTGAGGTTTGTGTAAGTACACCCTGTGATGTTCACACAATGATGAATTTGCCTAATGATGCATTTCTCAGAACATATCCACATTGCAAAGCAATGCGTGACTATATTTTGCTTTAAATAGTAAATTTATCTTTTAAGAAAAGTAAAAATAAGAAAAAAACATCTCATTTACCTACATACTAATTATATATGGCATTTTTCATTTCTTTGTGTAGATCCAGGTTATATCTGGTTTCCTTCTGTCTGAAAAACTTCATAAAGAATTATAATTCTTGTAGCAAAGGCCTACTGTTGAGAAATTCTTTCAGCTTTTACTTATCTGAAAGTCTTTATTTCACCTTTATTTTTGCACTGGGTATAGAATTGTAGGTTGATAATTTTTTCTTTTTTTTTCTTTCAGTACTTAAAAGATATTGCTTCATTGTCTTAAGGTTTGCATAATTTCTGATAAGAAGTTTGCAATAATTCTAATCTTTATTTATCTCTGATATAATGTGCCTCTCTTTTCTCCAGCTATTTAATAGTTTTAAGATTTTTCTCTTTATCACAGGTTTTCAGCAATTTGATTATAATGTGCCTTAGTGTTGTTTTAATTGTGTTTATGCTGCTAATTGGGGTTTGTTCCTAGATCTGTGGGTTTCATCAATTTTTGGAAAATTTTCAGGGACTATTTCTTCAAGTGTTTTTTTGTTGTTGTTTGTTTGTTTGTTTTTTGTCATCTCTCTCTCTCTGTCTCTCTGTCTCTCTGGATTCAAGTTCATTGCTCTGTTCTTCTAGAGTGTCTGATCTGTAAATTCCACTCAGTAAAATTTTGTTTTCAGATGTTATTCTTTTCATTGGTTTCTCTTTTATAGTTTCCATTTCTCTCATAATTATATTTATGTTTTTATTTAAATATTTTAGCATATCAATCCCATTCATAATACCTGTTTTAATGTTTTCATCTGATAATTTCATCTTCTTTATTATTTCAAAGTTTTTTTATTGACTGATTTTTTTACTGGTTATGTGGCACTTTTTTATTTCTTATAAATCTAGTAATTTTTTTATTGATGTAGGCATTTCTTTCGTTGTTGAGTGCTAGATATTATTTTATTCCTTTACAAGTTGGAGTTTGTTCTGACAGGCAGTTAAATTACTTGAGGATCAGTGTGGCCCACAGAGAGCTTGTTTTTAAGCTCTTATAAAGCAGATCTAGAGTAGCCTTTACTCTAGGACTAATTTAGTCGCATTCCTAACACTTGACCCTTCTGGGGTCTCTGCTGAGTGGGATCTCTGTAATTCAATGAAGTCTCCCTACCCTGTGGCTGGTGGACATTCAAATGATTCCCACTTCTGTGTAAGCTCTAGAAACTTTTTGGCTTACAGCTCTCTGGTAATTGTTCTTTTCCTGGAAATTATTCTTTGCTCCACCTTGTGGAGTTTTATCCTAACCACATAGTGACTGGTTTTTCAGACTCAAGGGACCCCTGTTCAGATTTCTGGAATTCTTTCTCTGTGAAATCCTCTCCTGTCTGTTCTCTGCCCCACATTCTGGCTGTTTGACCTCCCTGAACTCTGATTTATTTTGTCTCAATTTGGTGAGATTTCCAGAATCTGTTTGAATTCCCCTTCCCTGAACTGCAGTTCAGAAACTGCTTCCAGGCAGCAAGACTGAAGGATTATCCGACTTGCCCTCCCTGCTTCCCTTCTCTCAGGGGTCACAGTCCTGGGCAGTCCATAGTCCAGTGTCTGAACGCTGTTGTTTCACATGTTTTGTTCAGTTTTCTAGTGTTCTAAGTAATTTTGTACTGTTTTATTTTTCTCATGCCTATAAGTGTAAGTCCCTTTCAATGAGAACTAGAAAAAAAACAGAGATATAAAAAATTGATGGGATTTTATTTGGGGATGGGAGTGCGGTAAAGAAAATTACAACAAGCCGTTTATTAGTATGAGTTTGTAGGCTTGAGACAGATGGGGCTAATCTGCAAATATATAAAAGACTTTCTTATAAAGAGAAGCAGAAATGAGCTGAGGTGATGCCCAGCAGGCAGATCTATAGGTGGGAAGGGCTGGGCCAATTGTTCTAAAACTCGAATGCAAAGAGAAACATTTGGGTGTTTGTTAAAAGGCAGATTCCATGCTTCCTGCAAATGATCCCATGGGCCCCCCTAATTTGTATTTTTAACAGGCACCCTAAGGTGGTACTGATGCAGTTGGTCTGTTGGCCATTCTTGAAGAAATACCAGCTGAGGATCCTAGGTAGGGAATCCTCATATGAACCCAGACAACTCCATCTCAGGCACACAGGTAGGGCCCTCTATGTGGATAAAAGGCTAGAAGAGGAATCATTATGGAGTGAAAAAAGAGATGTCAAAGAGGAAGCAGTTGGCCTTCAGGACCAGGTAGAAATGCAAGGGATAAGGAGAGTCGTAGCAAGAGGTGACAGGGTCTTGGGTACAAGAATTGCTTTCCCTTGGCCAGCCTGATAGACCGTCTATGGAAGGTGCACCTTGGGATGAGGTAGCCAAAGGCCTCCAACAGGGAAAGCCTCAGACACATGAGCAGGAGCAGCCCTGAAGGAAAACAGCTGGAGTCAAAACAGAATGAAAACCTCACTTTGCTGGCTGCATAACAGCAACGACAAACACTGATTTAGATGAACCTTTTGCCTCTGCAGTGAACTAGCCTTTCTCATGAAATACTCATGTCCATTTCAGTGAGCTCTCTAGGGACACAATTTCAGCTTTGTAGTGATTCACGGTGGGTTGTTATATTGGCCAAATTGCCTTAGTGCTGTATTGACGAGCTCAGTTGAAACAGAGAGCTGAGTTCATCTCTTCATCAGGGTTCCTAAAAGCCCAATCTCAGCAAGAATTCTAGATTCAGGTCGATTGAGCACTGTTCAGAATCCTTTATTAATTTCCTCTTGATGTATCACCAGCAAGAGTAAAATCTTCCTACCTCTGACCAAGCCTGCTAACCACCACTAGGGCTTAAAGCCCAAAGAGAAGAATTTCAACTCCAGATAAAGGAAATATACCAGAGGCATCCTTGGAGACAGGGAATGTGTACTCTGATGAGCAGGCTCACCGCACCGTCCCTCAGGGCAGGCCATGCACTTGGACCAGTGGGGAAGGAGAAAACATGGAACTTTCATGTTAATTAACGACAGTAAAGAGTACAAGAACAGAGGTAAAACAATGGGTCAAAGTCTTCCTGGCTTAGTTTATGGTCTTTGGTGATTGAGAACAGCTCACAATGCCAAAATATGGCTCTGCTCAGAGGGACAGCCATGGAAGAAAGAAAATATCATTTCAATGAAGAACCAGCCTCCTGTGCAGGAAGTCAAGAAATCTCAATGTCTTGGGTCTTTTTAAGTTAATCACAGTTCTGTGATGGGATATCTCAGAAGAGTCACGGAAACCTTATTCTTAAGAGGATCAATAAATTAAGAAGGAGAACTTCTTAAGTGAAAAAGTTCACTTTGTAGAGAAGAAAACTGTTTTCAGTTAATGCATGGTTACTGAGTATCCACAGATTATTTTTCTTCTCTCTGTGAATGACAGCAGCATTTCCTAAATGAGTTTTGCCCAATATTCAACCTTTGGGATGCTCCATAGGCCAAAGAGTTCCATCTTCAAATTTCAGGGGAAAACTGCCTACTGTCTCTTCCTGTGGACAGTCATTATGCACATAGGCATATTAAAGATACTGGGTAGTCTTGTAGCATGGAAACTTACTTAATTAAAAACAAAAACTTCTTGAGTCCTAAACTCTTAATTGATAATGGAATCCTTTTTTAGATTATCCCTGATAACATCCCGAAGCTCTACTGAGCTCTGAAGCACCCTCAGAAGTGTTCATAAATACCACCAACAGAAAATGAATTGGACTCTTTCATGCTTGGTCAAAATATCATCAAAGTTTGACTTACACACCTATTAAGATGGCCAAAATAAAAAAAAAATTACTGATAATGCCAGGTGTTGGAATACATGCAGAGCAATACAAACTCTCACCAATTGCTGATGAGAATGCAAAATGGTCCGGCCACTCTGGAAGACAGTTGGATGGTTTCTTAAAATGTGACATATCTGTGTGTGTGTGTGTGTGTGTGTGTGTGTGTGTGTGCTGTATCACCCAACAAATCTACTTCAAAAATTTTTTTAATTTTTTAATTTTGATACATAGTAATGTATATATATATATATATAATAGTACATATTTTGGGGTAGATTTATGGGGTACTATTACAAACATGTAATAGTACATATTTATGGGCTACATATGATTTATGACATACTTATTTATGGGGTACATGCATAGAATGTGTAATGATCAAATCAGGGTACTTAAAATACTATTTAAGATACAACAAAAAAACTTACATTCACACAAAAACTCATCTATGAATGTTCATAGCAGTTTTACTTATAATTGCCAAGAGCGTCAAACAATCCAAATGTTATTCAATGGGTGTATGAGTAAACACACTGTTGTACACGTGTACAATGGAATGCTACTAATTAATAAAAGAGCAAACTATTCATACACACAACATGGATGAATCTCAAATATATTGTGCTAGCTGAAAAAATCCAAACCAAAAAGTTGCATATGGTGTGATTCTACTTATGTGACATTATAGGGGCAACCAGCCCCCAATATTTCAACGTAGATTCTTTTCTATTTTCTCTAAGTGTCAGCCAGTCTGAGAAATAAAGGGAAAGAGTACAAAAGAAAGAAATTTTAAAGCTGGGTGTCCGGGGGAGACATCGTATGTCAGCAGGTTCTGTGATGCCCCCTGAGCCACAAAACCAGCAAGTTTTTATTAGCGATTTTCAAAGGGGAGGGAGTGTATGAATAGGGTGTGGGTCACAGAGATCACATGCTTCAAAGGCAATAAAATATCACAAGGCAAATGGGCAGGGCAAGGTCACAAGGCCAGGGTGAAACTAGAATTGCTAATGAAGTTTCATGTCCCACTGTGCACGCATTGTCATTGATAAACATCTTAACAGGAAACAGGGTTCAAGAGCAGAGAACCGGTCTGACTAGAATTAGCCAGGCTGGAATTTCCTAATCCTAGCAAGCCTGGGGGCGCTGCAGGAGACCAGGGCGTGTTTCATCCCTTCCTACAACTGCATAAGGCAGACACTCCCAGAGCGGCCATTTTAGAGGCCCCCCCCTCCCCCAGGAATGCATTCTTTTCCCAGGGCTGTTAATTATTAATATTCCTTACTGGGGAAAGAATTCAGTGATATTTCTCTTACCCGTTTTCAGTAATAAGAGAAATATGACTCTGTCCTTCCCAGCTCCCAGGCAGTCAGACATAATGGTTATCTCCCTTGTTCCCTGAACATTGCTGTTATCCTGTTCTTTTCTCAAGGTGCCCAGATTTCATATTGTTCAAACACACATGCTTTACGAACAATTTGTGCCATTAACACAATCATCACAGGGTCCTGAGGCAACATACATCCTCAGCTTACGAAGATGACGGGATTAAGAGATTAAAGTAAAGACAGGCATAGGAAATTATAAGAGTACTGATTGGGGAAGTGATAGATGTCCATGAAATCTTCACAATTTATGTTCAGAGACTGCAGTAAAGACAGGCGTAAGAAATTATAAAAGTATTAATTTGGAGAACTAATAAATGTCCATGAAATCTTCACAATTTATGTTCTTCTGCCATGGCTTCAGCCGGTCCCTCCGTTCGGGGTCCCTGACTTCCCGCAACATGACATTCTGGAAAAAGTGAAAATATAGGAACGGAGAACAGATAGGTGGTTGCCAGGGACAAGAGAGTCTGGTTACACAGGGAAAGCAGAAGGGAATTCTTTTTTTTTTTTTTTTTGAGGCAGAGCTTTGCTCTTGTTGCCCAGGCTGGAGTGCAATGGCATGATCTCGGCTCACTGCAACCTCCACCTCCCAGGTTCAAGTGATTCTCCTGTCTCAGCCTCCTGAGTAGCTGGGATTACAGGCACCTGCCACCATGCCCAGCTAATTTTTTGTGTTTTTAGTAGAGACAGGGTTTCACTATGTTGGCCAGGCTGGTCTGGAGCTCCTGACCTCAGGCGATCCACCTGCTTTGGCCTCCAAAAGTGCTGGGATTACAGGTGTGAGCCACTGAGCCTGGCCAGGAATTCTTTAAGGTGTTGAAATTGTTCTGTATCCTGCCTATGCTGTTAGTTTCAAGATTCTATGCACATGTAAAACTCATAAAACTTTACACCAAAAAAGTAGATTTTACTCTATGTAAGTTTTTAAAATTAAAATAAAAAGATGATGCTGTTGGCAATATTTATCTATGTAGGAGCATTTTAACCCAGTAATACCATTCTATGAATTTACCCTATGAGTAAGTTTCTACAAGTACCTAAAGATTCATGTACCTGGCTACAGAGCAGAGAAAGTACAGAGGCTGCGTCTGGCTCCCGCTCTCACAGCCATTGCAGTACGTTGAGCTCCATAGAGACAACACTGGGACAAGGGAGAGCTGGACTTGCCAGATAGGCACTGGGCAACTCTGTGCCTCGCTGAGGAAAGATAACTAAACATGGTAAAGGGAGATCCTAAGAAGCCGAGAGGCAAAAATTTCATCATCTGCATTCTTTGTGCAAGCTTGTCAGGAGGAGCATAGGAAGAAGTACCCAGCTGCTCCAGTCAACTCCTCAGAGTTTGCTCAGAAGTGCTCAGAGAGGTGGAAGACCATATATGCTAACGAGAAAGGAAAATTTGAAGACATGGCAAAGGCAGACAAGACCTGTTATGAAAGAGAAATGAAAAGCCATATAACTTCCAAAGGGGAGAGAAAAAAGAAGTTCAAGAATCCCAATGCACCAAAGAGGCCTCCATGAGCCTTTTTCTTGTTCTGTTCTGAGTATCACCCCAAAATCACAGGAGAACATCCTGGCCTGTCCATTGGTGATGTTGCAAAGAAACTGGGAGAGATGTGGAATAACACTGCTGCAGATGACAAGCAGCCTTATGAAAAGAAGGCTGCAAAGCTAAAGGAAGAATACAGAAAGGATATTGCTGCATATTGAGCTAAAGGAAAGCCTGATGCAGCAAAAAAGGGAGTCGTCAAGCTGAAAAAGTGAGAAAAAGAAGGAAGATGAAAAGGACAAGGAGGAAGAAGTTGAAGTGAATATGAAGAAGATGACGATGGTGAATAAGTTGGTTCTAGCACAGTTTTCTTTTTCTTGTCTTTAAAGCATTTAACCCCCCTGTACACAACTCACTCCTTTTAAAGCAAGACATTGAAATGGGAGGCTGTGTAAGATTTATTCTTAACTGTACAGTGTTTTTTTTTGTATAGTTAACACATTACTGAATGTGTCTTTAGATAGCCCTGTCTTGGTGATATGTTCAATAGCCACTAACTTTGCCTGATACAGTATGGGGTTGTAAATTGGCATGGATATTTCAAGCAGGTTGTTGTTGGTGCACAGCACAAATTAGGAACGTATGGGGATGGTAGTTTTTTCATCTTCGGTTGTTTCTGATGCAGCTTATATGAAATAATTGTTGTTCTGTTAATGAATACCACTCTGTAGCCGCAAAACAAAAAAAAAGTTGCAGTTTGTTTTGTTGACATTCTAAATGCTTCTAAGTAAATACAATTTTCTTTGTTAATAAAATAAGATTCATTTAGCTGTGTATTCATTCATTTCATCATTGTTGGTAATAGTAAAACAAAAGAAGAAAGACAAGAAAAGACAAGAAAAGAATCTAGAAGGAGTCCATACATACGGAACCACTTACTTATAATTATTATAAGTAAACTTCTAATAATAAAATACAAATCAGTCATAAATCAGAAAATCGTATTATCAAAATCAATGCCTTGATTTTGATCATCATAATGTAATTATGTAAGATATTAATGTTTATGGAATTTGGGAAAAGGTATATGGTAATTTTCTCTAATTTTTTTGTAAGTGAGAAATTAGCTTAAATGAAAAGTTTTAAAATACAGAAAAAATAAGAAACCATCATAATAAGATAGAAACTTACCAAAGTTCCTGTTTTTATACCCCAAGGGACATAAGACACAGGAGACAAAGACCAGGGGCTGCCTAGGGTGGGAAATGTACTAAGAGATACCTTCGGGAGCTAAGCTATGAGGATGCAAAGGCCTAAGAATGATGCAATGGACCATGGAGCCTCAGGGAAGGGTGGGAGGGAGTAAGGGATAGGAAACTGCACGTTGGGTACAGTTTACACTGCTCAGGTAATGGGTGCACCAAAATCTTAGAAACTGCCATTAAAGAACTTATTCATGTTACCTAAATAAATAAATAAAAGGCTTACTGTTCAGAAAGAAAGAAAGGAAAGAAGGGAAGGGAAGGGAAGGGAAGGCTATGGCTGGGCGCTGTGGCTCACGCCTGTAATCCCAGCACTTTGGGAGGCCGAGGCGGGTGGATCACCTGAGGTCAGGAGTTTGAGACCAGGCTGACCAACATGGTGAAACCCCGTCTCTACTAAAAATACAAAAATTAGCCCGGTATGGTGGCATGTGCCGGTAATCCCATCTACTTGGGATTGCACTTCAGCCTGGGCAACAAGAGCGAAACTCCATCTCAAAAAAAAAAAAAAAGAAAGAAAGAAATGAGAGAGAGATGGCTTAAAAGCACTTGTGCAAGGTAATGGAAGGATCTTAATGGGGAAACTGAGTATGCAGGAACTCTCTGTACTCTTCGCAACTTTTCTGTAAACCTCAAACTACTCTCAAATGACTATTATTATTACTGTTATTAAACAGCAAAAAAAAAAAAAAAAAAGAAAGAGAGAGAGAGAGATACCATCATAATGCTAGGATCCCAAAGGGGTATACTCTCAGTGCAAGAGCAAATCAGAAGTAAGCCTGCCCTCACCCAGAGTAGACTATGAAGAAAATTGCTGTCTCATAAATTGGCATTATATGGATGGGAGAAAAAAACTCAGGGATTCATAACCTCATGGTAGTTCTCAGATAGTTTTGTAGCCCAAATCCATACTATTTTTATGGCTAGAAAAACTTCAAACTGAGTCTTTTTAAAAACCAGGTTCTGAGTTAATAGTGCCCATCTAGGCCAGGCACAGAGGCTCACGCCTGTAATCCCAGCACTTTGGTGGGCCAAGGCAGGTGGATTGCCTGAGGTCAGGAGTTCGAGACCAGCCTGGCCAACATGGTGAAACCCCATCTCTATTAAAAATACAAAAATTAGCTGGGCGTGGTAGCTGGCGCCTGAAATCCTAGCTACTTGGGAGGCTGAAACAGGAGAATTGCTTGAACCTGGGAGGCGGAGTTTGCAGTGAGCCGAGATCGCGCCATTGCACTCCAGCCTGGGCAACAAGAACAAGACTCTATCTAAAAAAAAAAAAAAAAAAAAAAATAGTGCCCATCTAGCAGATACATATCCTTCCTGAAGAAAACTACTTTCATCAGGGGACACAAAGAATTCCCACAAATAAAATTCCAACAAATATGAAGTCACAAAAAATATCACTTAATACCAAGAAAACAAATCTCCATGAGATGGACCCAGGAAAAACAACAAAATCAAATCCACAAGGACTTCTGAAATTTAAATTAGACATAGAACATAAAAGAATATATACAATATTTTTAAAGAATAAAAATGTTATATGGCCAAGATTTGGAAAATGAAAAACGTAATAATTTTTTATTGTTGTTTTTTGAGACGGAGTCTGTCTGTCTCTGTTGCCCAGGCTGGAACCCAAGCTGGAGTGCAGTGGTACAATCTCGACTCACTGCAACTTCTGGTACAAGCGATTCTCATGCCTCAGCCTCTCGAGTAGCTGAGACTACAGGCATGTGCCACCATGCCCAGCTAATTTTTGTATTTTTAGTAGAGAGGGGCTTTGCCATATTGGTTAAGCTGGTTTCGAACTCCTAGCCTCAAGTGATCTGTCTGCCTCAGCCTCCCAAAGTGCTGGGATTATAGGTGTGAGCCACCACACCCAGCCAAAACATGATAATCGAAATTAAAAACTCAATGTTGGTTTAACAGCAGATGAGACACAGATGAAGAGGGAATTCATGGAATGAAGAATAAATATGAAGAAGTGACATAGAATGAGGTGTGAAGAACAAGAGACAAAATTTTGAATCAGGCATGGTGGTGCATACCTATAGTCCCAGCTACTCAGGAGGCTGAGATGGGAGGATCCCTTGAGCTCAAGAGTTCCAGACCAACCTGGGCAACATCGTGAGATCCTGTCTCTAAAACAATTAATAAACACAAATAAATAAATGTTAAAAAATAGAATAACTGTTTTAATTTTAAAAATAAAAGAAATTTTGCAAGAATTTCAAATATGATGTGAAGGGTATTACACATACGTATGAATACCACTGAAGGCCATCTTGGAGGCCAGCTCCCACAATTGTGTCATTCAAGTCTTCTATATTCTTATTGATTCTTTTTACGTACTTGTTCTATCAGTCATTTAGAATGGAATGTTGACATTTGCAGCTGTGCTTGTGAATATATCTATTTCTTCTTTAGTTCCATCATGTTTTGCTTTATGTATTTTGGAGCTGTATTTTTCCATATCTACACACTTGGGGTTGTTATAGCTCCTTAAGGAATTGGCCCCTCCATCATTATAGAAAGGCTCTTCTTATCCCTGGTAAAATTCCTGGTTTGGGATTTGACTTTGATGTTAATATAAGCACTCCTGCTTTGTTTACTGTTCTCATCCATTTACTTTTATCCTCTATATGTCTTTACATTTAAAGTGGGATCATCCACATCCCTTGGCTTGTGACTCCCTTCCACCATTTTCAAAGCTGGCAACAGTGGGCAGAGTCCTTTTTATGGAGCCATTTCTCTGGTTCTCAGCAGCCAGGAAATGTTCTCCACTCTTAAGCACTCATGTGATTAGATTGGGTCCACCTGGATAATCCACGCTACTCTCCCCAGCACAAGACCCTTAACCTGGAGGACCTCAACCTCTTCAAAGAGCTTTATGCATGACTGAGTAGTCTAACCTTTCTCTCTTTCTCAGGTCTTAGCACAAGACTGTGAAGCCACACCTTTGATTTAGCACATTTGAAATTCAGTCCCCTGGTTGCTTTATAACCTATAACCTTGAAAAAATTATTATTTTGTAGATTACCTGGATTTTTCTTGTCAGGTAGGAGTGACATGTTCTTGCAGTATCCTAAGCAACTGTGGAAACTCTACTTACTATTTCATAAAAGCATTTTTTAAGAAACAAGAAAAAAAAGGAGAGAACATTATTGATTGTGAGGTGAGTGACAGTAATTGCTAGTCATATAACTGAGAAGTTGGTTCAAGACATCCAAATACATAGAGGGAAAGATAAGACCTGTGATGGACTTCATTTTTTTACTTTTCGATTAAAAACAGAAAAAGCCAATGTCCAAAGATATGATTCCTGGTTAAAGCATCCCCAGGCCCTCACAAAAAAATTGGCATATTTGATACCCTCTGATAAGCAAGATAAATGGTCTCTGGGGTACCCTCAGCTCAGCTGACCTCCATTACCAGTCATTAGCACAATGTGGTCAGAGATTAACTCAGCACATTTTTCTCCTTCCCACCACCATGGACACCACCACCATCTGAAGGCCGAGGCCAGGGCAACTCCAGCATTTACAATAAACGGCAATATGTATTGGGAGCTAGCAAAATCAATCCAAAGGTCTAGGGGGAAAAAGAAGGTATCTTCCTTGGGTCCTGTCTCTTGCCCTAAACGGAGATAAAACATGTTTCTAGTTCAATACTTGAAAGGGCAGGGATTTGTCTCTGTCACAGAACTGGAGACTTGGAAGAAACTCCAAATATAACTCCTCACCCTGGGCAAAACCAGCATAAAGTGATTTGTGGAGCATCTGTCAAGACCAGGAAGTGTGCCCTACATATATATGGAGAAGATGTGTTTGTCCCTTGAGTCTGGGCTGAGCCTATGTATAAGAACCATTTATTCATTTATATGGTATCTGTTCCTGTTATTTTTTTGACATAGTTAATAAAACGAACTAAAACTTATATAAAAGATTTTAGTTATTACATGATCTCAAGTAATTTCTACATGGTGGGGTTTTTTGTTTGTTTATTTTGTTAGAACTCCTGAGATGCTGTTGGGTCAAGCCAAAAAATCAAAGAAATGGCATCAAAAATGAAGGAGCAAGTTTAGTCTCTGCCAAGCTCACTCCTCTCCTACAAGTCACAGTTGGAGGGTGGGGAGCTGGCATAAAACCAATACATACTTCTCTCCCATCGGTGTGGAAATTTTTTTGTTTTCTTAGCATTAACACATCTGCTGAAAATACCTCGCGCTAGGAAGACTGTCTTCTCACAGAAGTCCTGAGGGATACGCGATCTTGTACATATGTTTACAAAATTGAGGCCAACAAAGTATGAGGGTATTTGAGGTCACTTGGTTCTGTGCACAGCAATCATTTGGAGGCTGTGTCTTTGGTGCCTGTTTAAGTCTGGCCTTGCATGGGAGTCCCAGAGGAGCAAGAAAAGCAGGACAAAGAAGATACAGAAAAGACTCTGGCATCCCTGTGACGTCATGAAGGGTCTGTTTGCTGCTGCCCAGAGTAAGTTGGCTTCACTGTTCAAGTTCTGGTCCAGTGCCTGTAGGAAGAACACATGCCCTGTAAATGAGGAAGAGAGGGCCTGTTGTCTGCCAAGGTCTAGCTGCACATGAACCTGAATCCTAACACAACCCAGCAAGATTAATATTGGATCGCACTGGGCCAACACCAAAACCAGCTCATAAAGGTTAAGTAACTTGTTTAAGGTCACACAGCCAGTAAGTAGCAAAGCAAGGATTCGACCCCATTAAAGCCTTCCCTCCTTTGAGGGCACCACACTGCCCTCAGAGAGACACATCCTGAATTAGGTTGTGTCCACCCTCACCCTGGGAAGCAGCTCTACCTGATAGATAGAAAAGTGGAATACAATTGACTCTTGAGCAATAGGGGTTTAAACTGTGCAAGTCCACTTACATGTGAATTTTTTTTCAATAAAATTTATACCAAGTTCACCTGCCTCCCTTTCCACCTCCTCACCTCTTCTCCCCCAATACCCCTGAGACAGCAAGACCAACCCCTCCTTTTCCTCCTCCTGCTCAGCCTACGCAACATGAGGATGAAGGCCTTGATGATGATGATCCACTTCCACTTAGTGAAGAGTAAATATATTTTATCTTCCTTATGATTTTCTTTTCTTTTTTTCTGAGATGGAGTCTTGCTTTGGTGCCCAGGCTGAAGTGCAGTGGCTCAATCTCGGCTCACTATAACCTCTGCCTCCTGGGTTCAAGCGATTCTGGTGCCTCAGCCTCCTGGGTAGCTGGGATTACAGGCACCTGCCACCATGCCTGGCTAATTTTTGTATTGTTAGTAGAGACAGGGTTTCACCATGTTGGCCAGGCTGGTCTTGAACTCCTGATCCACCCACCTTGGCCTCCCAAACTACTGGGATTATAGACTGAGCCACCACGCCTGGCCTGTTTTTTGGTTTTTTTGAGACCGGGTCTCACTCTGTCACCCAGGCAGGAATGCAGTGATGTGATCATAGCTCACTGTAGCCTCAACTTCCCGGGCTCAAGTGATCCTCCTGCTTCAGCCTCCCAAGTAACTGAGACTACAGGCACAGGCCACCATGCCTAGCCCTGGTGTGAGTTATACCCTCAGAGCTGGTGGCTCAGTAGGGCTTGGCAGTTTTGCAGCGTGGTGAATATATGCAGAGACATACATCAGCCAGTCAAGTTCAATTCCAGCTCTACCTCTCCAGCTGGGGGCCTTTGGGCAAGGCCTCACTTGAGTTTCCTCCAGCGTAGACTGTAGATATTAACAAGATTCACCTAATAGGCCTAAGGGAGGGAGTGGGCTAAAGGAGATAATCCACAGAGCCGCCTGTGAGAGCAATGCACGATAAATGTTAGCTATCTTGATTTTTCTTCCTTGCATTTACCATCATTTGCAATTGCAAATTCATTTGTGTGATTATTTGACTAATAACTGTCTTTTTCACTAAAAGACATGCCTGGTGAAGCCAGGGACTGTGTCTGTTTTGCTCACCAGTGTATCTTCAGTGACTCCCAAGCAGAGTCTGACACCCAGTACATGATTGTCAAATGTGCAGTGAATCGGTAAAGGCATGAGGAATAGAAGGCACTTAATACATGTTTGTTGGATTGTAAAAGAACAAAATGCTCTGGAAATGGCTGGTAATGTTTTTTGACCTTGGTGCTGGTTACAACTTGTGACATTGTAAAATATATATTTGGTCTTTATCCCGTTTCCTGGCATTTAACTCTTAAAATCCTTGGAATCTCCAAAGTGATGCATTTTTGTATGCTTATGTTGACTGATAGCTTTAGGATGGGGCCCAGTCAGGTCACCAGAAAGAACAAGGTATAATTAGAGGGCTGGGACTTTCAGCCCTACCCCCTAACCCCTGGAGAGGTGAGAGGGGCTGAAGGTCAAGCTGATGGCCAATGACCAATGACTTAATCAATCATGCCTACCTAATGAAGTTTTCATAAACCCAAAAAGGGCAGGGTTCTAGGAGCTTCCAGATAGCTGAACACATGAAGGTTCCTGGAGGGTTGCATGCCCAGAGAGGGCATGGAAGCTCTGTGCCCCTTCCCCCATACCTCACCCTACGCATCTCTCCTTTGTAATATCCTTTATAATAAACTGCTAAACATAAGTTAGTGTTTCCCTGAATTCTATGAGCCGCTCCAGCAAATTAGCTGAACTCAAAGAGGTGTCATGGGAACCCCAACTTGAAGCTGGTGGGTCAGAGTTCCAGAAGCCCAGACTTGAGACTGGTGTCTGGGGTGGGGGGCAGTCTTGGGGACTGAGCCCTCAACCTGTGGGGTCTGATGCTCTCTCCAGGTAGACAGTGTGGGAATTGAATTGGAGGACACCCAGTTGGTGTCCACTACAGAACCGATGGCTTGCTTGGTGGTGGGAAGAAATCCCCTCCACATTGGGTCGCATTAAATTGTTGTGATGTAAGAGAGAAGAAACTTTCACTCGCGTCCATGTGAAGAGACCACCAAACAGGCTTTGTGTGAGCAACATGGCTGTTGATTTCACCTGGGCGCAGGCGGGCTGAGTCCGAAAAGAGAGTCAGCCAAGGGAGATAGGGGTGGGGCCGTTTTATAAGATTTGGGCAGGTAAAGGAAAATTACAGTCAAAGGGGGTTTGTTCTCTGGCGGGCAGGAGTGGGGGTTGCAAGGTGCTCAGTGGGGGAGCTTTTTGAGCCAGGATGAGCCAGGAAAAGGACTTTCACAAAGTAATGTCATCACTTAAGGCAAGGACCGGCCATTTTCACTTCTTTTGTGGTGGAATGTCATCAGTTAAGGCGGGGCAGGGATTTTCACTTCTTTTGTGATTCTTCAGTTACTTCAGGCCATCTGGGCATATATATACGTGCAAGTCACAGGGGATGCGATGGCTTGGCTTGGGCTCAGAGGCCTGACAGAAACAGTTTGAGTTTTTCCCAAACGCAATTCTAGGGCAATACATATATGTTTTGAAATGTAGATTTTATCATTATTCAGGTCTGATGATGCCAACAGATCAGAAGACTGCCATTGATAAGGTGGCTTGTTGCAATTACCAAGAGGAGGAGGCACTCACTCCTCCACACGGGGCACACAGGCAAGCACTAGAGTTGGTTGAAGACAGAGGGAGAGGGGAAAACCATGGGCAAGGCTCTCTATTGTGGTTTCCAAGGGAAAGAGCATGCAAAACAGGGCAAGCGGGTTGAGGATTGGCTTGTCTGAGTAATTTCAGCAAGCTCTGGGGTATAGGGACTGTGCCTAGTTGTTTGCTACCTGGCCCTGGGGTGATGAGGGCAGGGAATCATGGCCTGGTCAGGAGTGTAAGTGCAATAGAGGAAGTGTCGCTGGTAGGCATTCTAGATTGGTTGGTTTGCATATGAAAGGTGCGCTCTCAGGCCAGCCCTTGACTTTCTCTAGTAATTAGCCCTGGGAGGGGGGACTCCCGCCAAGACAGCAAGGCCCTAAAACAGCAAAGCATCAGAATACAGAAAATAAAAAGACGCAGTTAATACAACATGCGACTGGGGCACCTTCCAGGGCATAGGTGTCCACAAAAAGTGCACACAACAACAAGGACACAAAACAGCGTTTCTAAAGCCACACTGACACTGTGAGAGAGATGCCTGACTTCTCAGGGTCACAAAATGGGAGACAAAGGCAGGCAGAGGGTGCAATTTTAAGAGGCTGTTCTCTCAGCTGGTGACTGAGGCTAAGGGAGGACCATGTGGGGAGGTTCTGTGCCTCCTCCAGGGGAGGGCACTAAGGCTCTGTTCTCCCTGCCCAGCCCTGTCCACCCGCACACTTGTTCCTCTGCCCTGTGAGCTTCCTAAGCTGCTTGTTTTGAGGGGCTTCATCTGAGAATGTTGGCCAGGGGTATTTTCCTGAACTGTGCTGCCTTCTCTGACAGACGTGCTTCCCATCCAAGACCAAAGCCCACTCCATTCTGGCCTCCAGGGGCCTGAGCTTGGCTGGGCCTTTTTCACTCGGATGAGCTTTCATTGCATTTCTAGCAACTACACTGTGGTGTAGCGATCAGAGCCACCAGTTCCGGAACCAGGCTGCTCCTCATTTGCAAACTGCAAATGATGAAATTAAAGTTAATAAGACTTGCTCATAGGGTTACTATATTAAGTTACTCTACTTAGAACATGCCACTTACACAGAAAGTATTATGTAAATGTTATGTTTGCATACATTACAGCACTGCCTAATAATTGGGCAGAAATGACAATCAGCTCAAAAAAACGGATTATAATTATTGATGATTTTAAGAAACTTATCAGGTTCTTTCTCCCTCAAGTAGTCCTTGTCAGACCCTTACTGGACCCACACTAAGTGCAGGGCCTGAGCTAGTCCCCGGAGGCAGATGTGGAAACCTGTCATCCCAGAAGAGGAACAGTAGCAATCACTTGTTGATTGGAACTATGCACCTTGTCTCCCTGGCTCGTGGTCTGATATTTCTCATGGCTATCATGTAGCCAGGCAAAGATCCTATTAGTATGGTTATGCTTTCAATTATTCAAACATTTACTAACTATCAGATGGCATTTTAAACACTGGGTACAAATGAGTCAACTTCATCCTTGCCACATCATTAAGGGATGGGTATTACTAGTCCCATCTTAGATGCAAAGAGAATGTGACTTGGAGCGGCTCAGTATTTGCCCCCTCTGCAGCAGTGCATGGCAGAAGGGATCCAAGCAAGCTGCACACAGGATCTTCTATGATGCAAATTCACACAGGGAGGAGGCAGAGCACCTGCCTGGAAAAGTGTCTCAAACTGAGTTTGGAAGGATATACAGGGGTTGGCCCAGCAAAATGGGTAGTTAGGATAAAGTCAACCTATACAGAGAAAAAAACACATTTCCAGAAGTGGAAGTGTGGGGTGGGCCCGTGCCTGGAAGATGCCAGTGTATCCGTGAGGTGTAAGACATGAGGCTAGAGAGGTGGGAAGGGCCAGGCCATTCTCCAGAAGATTCTAGATCAGTCCAGAATTTATTCTCAGGGGTTAAATTCAGTCATTTTGTGTACCCTCCTACCCATTTGAAATAGCCAAAATTTCAACCACAAACTCACTAAAAAAAAAAAAAAATTCCATTATTTGTCTTTTCAGATGCCAGAGGTCAAATCTTAAAACTATCTGGCCTGCCTTTGACCTTCATGGGAAAACCTAAAGTGTTCTGTCTCCATAGAGCTAGATGTTCATCAAATCCAATTACCTCTCCCAGCTGCACCGCTCACCAGGAGGCAGGGCTCTGCTGGGGACAAAGAGAGGCAGAGGAAGCAGACTGTCCCCAGCCCCGCTTCCTGCTGCAAATTAAGCCAGGCATCGACTGTGCCGACTCACCACCTGGCTGCTGCCACAACAGCAGCTGCAGCCTGTTAGCACTGAAGAGTTTCTCTCCCAACTATTCCCATTAGTGTGGCCAGCGAGGGGGAGGATGAGTAAGTGTCTGTGCTCAGCTTGGGGCTCTGGCTCCTGCTGTCTCTTCACTGGGCTCTGACCTCCAGGGGCTGGGCGGGACATCCAAGCGTCAGAAGCCAACATAGGCCTGCTGACTCCCAGAGTTCGGCGCCTAACTTGGAGACAGGGCAGCAGAAGAGATTCTCAGCCCTGGCTGCCAAGCATTGCTCAAGAAGCTTCAGATTCAGAGAGACTGGGTAAGGCGGCCCCTCTGGGTCTGTAAAGCACCACTGTGATTCCAAAGCACAGCCAGGGTCAGCACTTCACCGATCTGTATTCACCAGCTGTCCTGCACATGTGTCTTTGATAGGACATGTGGGAAAGACATTAGGCCCTTCCAGCTCCCAGTAACTAAATATAGTCCTTCACATATCTCAGGGTAAGGCACTCTGTACCTTTTCAAACTGCTTTCATATACCTTGTCTCATTTGAGCCTGTGAGCAAGGGGAGGAGGCCGCTGAAACCCCAAGGTGCACTGAACGCCCCTGATGCCTTTAATCACGCAGCCAATTAGAGGCAAGGTTGGAACTATGCACCTTGTCTCCCTGGCTCGTGGTCTGATATTTCTCATGGCTATCATGTAGCCAGGCAAAGATCCTATTAGTATGGTTATGCTTTCAATTATTCAATACTTCTGTGTTACAATACACTGCTTATGTGGAACTGCTTGTAAGTGGCCATCATTGACTTCACCGATGAATCTGCTCCCCCTGTGTTGGAGAAAGTACCGAGTCATTGCCTCTAACCCCTAGCAAATGTAAAATACCTTTGCAATAGCTGGAAAAAGAAAATCACTGATGCCGACAGAATCTCCTTCATTCTCATAGACTAGGTAACAAAAGGGGAAGAAATCATGTCAGCTGAAAGATCTGGGGAGAAATCGATTTGGGACTGCTAGAATCACAGGAAGTTTTTGTTGAAGGATCAGAAACCCACGCAAGCCAGCTCAAGCAAAAGGTTTATTGTACAAGACACAGAGCGATGTAACAGAACCCAGCTGTAGGAAGTGCAGCTGGGTCTCCAGGGAACCAGAGAATGAATGGCAACCGTTTCTCAAGCCACATCATCTCTCATCTTGGCTTCTCTCTGTACACCTGCTCCCATATCCTCCCTATGGGCTGGCTTCCCCTTGCTGTTCAGGGTTTCTGCTCCTTCACAACTTCAGTTTGCTTATTGCTTTGTCTAAGTAAGCCTCACCATGAAACTTGACTCTACATAACTGTACTTGGAACCTATAGCTAATCAAGTCAGTCCCCGGAACTGGAAGCATCCCTATTCCAGATCCTCAGGGAGAGGATCTGACTGTTTGGCTGGGCTGGCAGGGCCCACCCCACTGTCCACTCATCTGATTCCAGGAAGGATTGAGTCTCATGGGATGCTGCCTAGATCTAAGCTGGCAATGGGGATGACAGGTAAAGAGACCAGTCACTTAGAACTGAGCCAAGACAAACTCAGATGACTCTATCCCAGGAAGAAAGGCAAAGCCTCCCTTCTGAAAGCCATTCAACAAGCAGGTCATTGAAGTGTGTTGGAACACAGGTTAGAATAATAAATAATAGGCTGGGTGTGGCGGCTCACGCCTGTAATCCCAGCACTTTGGGAGGCCAAGGTGGGTGGATCACCTGAGGTCAGGAGTTCAAGACCAGCCTGGCCAACATGGCGAAACCCTGTCTCTACTAAAAATTTAAAAATTAGCTGGGCATGGTGGTGCATGCCTGTAGTCCCAGCTACTTGGGAGGCTGAGACATGAGAATTGCTTGAACCTGGGAGGCAGAGGTTGCAGTGAGCCAAGATCGCACCACTGCACTCCAGCCTGGGTGACAGAGCGAGACTCCGTCTGAAACAAACAAACAAAAAAGAATGATAATAATGTGTGAAAAACCAGGACGCACAATCTACGGGACCACATTCTCACTGAGGAAGTGGTTTTCTAGAGCAGTGACTATATAATCCTTTTAGTAGGTGAATCAGTCAAGCAGGTCAAAATACCTCATTTCCCAACAAACCTTACAAGAAAAAAAGCCCTGCCAGATTAAACAAGAATATGAGTCTCTTCTAGACGAGATTCTGAAAACCCAGATAAGTAAGAAAAACACTGGACCAGGACTCCGAAATCCCGAGTTTTCATTCAGGCTTTGTTATGAATTTTTCATCTGGTGGCCCTTCCTTCTTCATTTAGCTAACTTCTCATCAAGACTCAGCTCCCAGGGCTGAGGCCGGTGACTTACTCCTGTCATTCCAGCACTTTGGGAGGTCAAGATAAAAGGATTTCTTGAGGCCAGGAGTTTGAGACCAGCCTGGGCAATATAGTGAGACCCTCTGTCGGCAGAAAATTTTAAAAATTATCCAGGTGTGGTGGTGCATGCCTGTATTCCTAGCTACTCAGGACACTAAGGCAGAAGGATCGCTTGAGCCCAGGAGTTGGAGGTTACAGTGAGCTGTGATGGCACCACTGCATCTAGCCTGGGCAACAGAGTAAGACCTTGTCTCAAACAAACAAACAAAAATGCTCAGTTCCAGGAAGTTCCTGCTCTGTGCTCCCACAGGACCATCTACATGCCTCCATCATGGCAGCTCCCCATTGTCCTAAAATTGTTTGCCTACCGTCTGTTCTCTCACTGGAAGTACATTCCTCTAGCATGGATCCTCTATGTCCTCAGTTATACCCCCATGTGTTCTGCCGTACTTGACATATAGTACTCAATAAATGTTTTTCAGCTGAACTGACTATGAGAAGATATTTATCTGAGCTGCAAATCAAGGCACACACACTGTTGTCTGGCTGAAAACCTCGAGCCCTTTGTGGTAGGAGATTGGGTACCACTTGATAGACAGTAGAGAACACAGGGACAGCCAGTACTCTAAAGCATAGCCAGCCCCGCCTGGGACACTGATGTATCCGCCTGCCGTATGTGAAAAGAGATAAAATTTTAGCACCTTCCAAATGTACTGTGCTAAGAATAAAAGTTAAGCCCTGCAAACTGAGTCATATAACATGACCGTTCTTTTCCTCTGGTGCATGACCATTGCTTCCTGACTTTTGTGTTGAGATGTTACATGCCAACCAGACTTCCCATTCTTCATTCAAACCTACACAAAATGATGCTGGAGACCTTGTGGTTGTTATCTCCCTACAATAGGATGTTAAGCCACCCCCTTAGCGTGGAATCGATAGTAGCCAATCAAATCTTATATCTGCATGTTAGCCTCTCTATGGAAAATGCTGTGATTCCATTCAACACTTCCATTTTTGACCTCATAAGCAGCCCTCACTTTTCCCCACACCAGGACACCAGGAGCACCAATCACCATTCTTTGGTGTCCACGTGTCCTGAGATGGCCACCCTGACAGTGCACTTGAATAAACTCTCTTAACTGGGTCCTGAGCCTTTTGATTATTTCAAACTGCCAAATATTAGGAAGAAAATGTGCATATTCTCAAACTAAAAATGAATAAAGCCACACCACCACTGATGCTTTTCAAGATATATTTTATTACAAAAGAAAGTTTGAATGTAAAAACAAATACAGCAACGTCAGCACAATGGCAGAGTATGACCCTCCAAGCTCTTCTCCCCCAACAGAAACTTTCTTTTTTTGGAGACAGGGTCTCACTCTGTCACCCAGGCTGGAGAGCAGTGGTGTAATCTTGGTTCACTGCAACCTCCACCTCCTAGGCTCAACAGAAATATATTTTTTTACAGCAGAAACTTAAAAAAAAATGTTTCTATTGAGCCCAGGAGGTGGAGGTTGCAGTGGCTCACGCCTGTAATCCCTTTGGGAGGCCGAGGTGGGTGGATCACTTGAGGCCAGGAGTTTGAGACCAGCCTGGCCAACGTGATGAAACCCTGTCTCTACTAAAAATACAAAAATTAGCTGGGTGCGGTCGGTGGCGGGGGTGCTTGTAATCCCAGCTACTCGGGAGGCTGAGGCAGGAAAATCGCTTGAACCCGGGAGGCAGAGGTTACAGTGAGCCGAGATCGTACCATTGCACTCCAGCCTGGGCGACAGAGCGAGACTCCGTCTCAAAAAACAAACAAACAAACAAACAAACAAACCAACCATTTGTAACTACTTTAAAAAATAGTCTAATGTTTATAGCAACCACGTAAGGGCTGAGTACAGAAAAAGACACTTCAAAACCATAGCAGGGGGGCAGTGTTGTCTGCTGGGTCCTGGAGACCTTCGGTGTTGCCACTGCTCTCACCATGCCTTCAGTCCAGACTGCGTCACAGCCTCTCGGGAGACGTGGGCCCTCAGAACCTCTTTAGCGCTGGACTCCAGGCCGCAGGCAGCCCAGCAGCAGCAGCAGCAGGATAGCAGAACCTCTGGATGCACTCTTCCTGGGAAGCTTTGCTAATTTGCAGCTGCTGCACTGTGTTCCTCATTAACATCTGTCAGCTTAGTCATTACATCATTTCACTGTGGTGGGAGGGACTCAGCTCAGAATTCTATATATATGGAAAAAGCACCTGGGTCCCAGTCTTTCACTGGCTTCAACACAACCAGAAGTGCCTGCTCTTGAGGCTGGGTGGGCTTCTAGGAAAGATGTCCCTGCCCATCAGGATAAACTGCTGGGCATCCAGCTATGATGATGCCCTCGAGGACCCTGTGCCCATGACTCCTCCATCGGACACGGGCAGCGTCCACTGGAAGCCAGTGATTCCAGAGTGCAAGTATCAGTGCCTCACCAAGGAGGAGGAAGGAGAGACCAGCCTACCCGCCCCTGCCATGACCCTGTCATTGACAGTGTGACACAGTCCCAGTGGTGAAGTCTAAAGCTACCCATATCATCATGAATTCTCTGTTCACAAAACAGACCCAGGAAAGTACTCAGCATTTTGGGCGACAGGCAGGGTTGAGAGGTGCTGGCTACACACCACACAAGGGCCTCACCGCAGAGGAGACCAAGTACCTTCGAGTGGCGGAAGTGCTCCACCAACTAAAGCTACAGAGTGGAGAGAGAACAAGAGAAGAGAGGCAGCCTGCATCAGCCCAGTCAGCCCCAAGCTGCACTCCTCACTCTTCCCCTGAGCAGAGACCCAGAGGCTGGTTCACTTCTGGTTCTTCCACAGCTTTACCTGGCCCAAATCCCAGCACCATGGATTCTGGAAGTGGAGATAAGGACAGAAACTTGTCAGATAAGTGGAGCCTCTTTGGACCGAGATCCCTTCAGAAGGATGATTCTGGAAGTTTTGCCACCCAGGCCTACCAAGGAGCCCAGAAGCCCTCTCCAGTGGAACTGATCCATGCCCAGGCCAACCACATGACTAGAGATCCAGCAAACTTGAAGCCGCCCAAGATGGACATCCCAGTGATGGAAGGGAATAAACAGCTGCCACGGACCCATCATCTCAAACCCGGTGACTTGAATGTGCTCACACCCACTGGCTTCTAGAGTGCTTTCTCTTCCAGTCCTCTGGTAAAGAGGGTTTCTTGCCCCACTCCCCTTTTAACTTGGCTCTCTCTCTATATATATATATGTTTTGTTTTGTTTTGTTTTGTTTTGAGATGGAGTCTTGCACTGTCGCCCAGGCTGGAGTGCAGTGGCACAATCTTGGCTCACTGCAACCTTTGCCTCGCAGATTCAAGTGATTCTCCTGCCTCAGCCTCCTGAGTAGCTGGGATTACAGGTGCCCACCACCACGCCTGGCTAATTTTTGTATTTTTAGTAGAGACAGGGTTTCACCATGTTGGCCAGGCTGGTCTTGAACTCCTGACCTCAGGTGATCCGCCCTCCTTGACCTCTGAAAGTGCTGGGATTACAGGAATGAGCCACCATGCCTGGTCAGAAAGGTATATTTTTAAAAACCTGTTAATTAGAGGCCAGAGCTGGAGACATTATTGGTGTTTGAGAAACATTAGTACAAAGCTTGCCCTTGTTGTGTGGAAGAAGCCATTTTGTACTGCTTTAAAGCTAGACTATATCACTTCGGCAGTGATGTGTGGGGGACCTCATTACCTAGTTTTTCATCATTTACCCTAGATAAGAACTTTAAGAGATGCTCACTGACTCGCTGAGATGACTCTGGCCCTCTTGACGACTGGCACTGTGCTCCAGCCTTGTCACTTAGGGAACCCAAGATCTGTTTGGGACCTGGGTACAGGTAAAAGCCAGACTTGGCAGGGACCCTCTTTCTAGGCTGAACCTTGAGTCCCCCCGCTTTTTGGTAGACTTAATGGATCACTGTCCTGCAGCCAGTTCTTCATGTGGGGCCTCTTAAGTCAGTGCCAGGGGAGGCATGCTCCTCTTTCTATGCCACAGAACAAACACTAGTCTTGCAAAGCTTTCCTTGCACTTTAAAATGAGATTAATTTAACTCCAATTTGGTTAAAAACTTACTAAGAGAGAAAATTCAGTCTACTGATTTGGTATAGGTAAATGGACGTTAAACATTTTTTTTTTTTTAGACGGAGTCTCGCTCTGTCACCAGACTGGAGTGCAGTGGTGTGATCTCGGCTCACTACAACCTCTGCCTCCCGGGATCAAGTGATTCTCCTGCCTCAGCCTCCTGAGTAGCTGGGATTACAGGCAGTGCTACCACACCCAGATAATTTTTGTGTGTTTTTAGTAGAGACAGGGTTTCACCATGTTGGCCAGGATCGTCTTGATCTCTTGACGAGGCCACCCACCTCGGCCTCCCAAAGTACTGGGATTACAGGCATGAGCCACCACACCCAGCCTAAACTTTTCTAAAGTAAAGAAGATGGTAGGTACAGTTAGATTATAGTCTTGAGGTTCATGTGAAGCCAGTGTTACCGTATTTTGATTTCCTTGTTCAGAGCCTGAAACATCTACAAGGGGAGGTAAAAGAATTCAAACTTTTCTGTATGAAAGCATTTTTCACCAAAATGAGCCACCTCCCTTTATGCAACACATAACCTCACTGAGGAAAGGAAATAGGGAAACTGCCTTCTTATTTCTCCTCACTGTGGACAAGTTCAGTCATTGTCTTGAACACCGTCTCAAATACCCGTTTTTGGTTTTGGATAGTATCTTGTCTGCATAAGAAGCTGACCTTTCCATAGAGAGGCCCTGGAGTCTAAAATTATCAGAACAATTAATTTATTTGTGTCTTCTATTATGACATCTTGTTTGACAATAAAAATCCTTACTACTTCCAAAAATAAAAAAAAATGTAGAAGGGCTGGGCGTGGTGGCTCACACTTGTAATCCCAATACTTTGGAAGGCTGAGGCAGGCAGATCATTTGAGGTCAGAAGCTCGAGACCAGCCTGGCCAACATGGCAAAACCCCATCTCTACTAAAAATACAAAAATTAGCAGGGCATGATGTCACGTGCCTGTGGTCCCAACTACTCAGGAGGCTGAAACAGAATCACTAGAACCTGGGAGGCAGAGGCTGCAGTGAGCTGAGATCGCGCCACTGCACTCCAGCCTGGGCAATAGGGCGAGACCCTGTCTCAAAAACAAACAAACAAACACCCACACACACACACACACACACCTGTAGAAGGTTTTGAGGTGATTCTAGATGTCTTTGCCCCACCCCTCTCCTATGTCACAGCTATCTGAAAGCAGTAGTGATTGATGCTGATGAGGCAATGGCCCAAGTTCCCAGTGCAAGACCATTTCCCCAATTCTGGAGGGATCAGAGCAGACTTTATTTGCAAGTTATTGTATATGTCACATTTGTCTGAGCCACATTTCTATTCTAACCTGTATAGGGGCTAACACAGAAAAATTGATGCAAGTTGATTTTCTCTCTGCTTTGCCTAACTCAGGACTGAGGCCAAAAAAAGCTAAAAAATATTGCAAACCAAAATAACAACCCTAAGATGCCTGGGAGAAAAGATTACAGGTCAACATATAACAGACTACCTAAGGCAAAATCTGTGTAGAGTTTCTCTGGGAAATTAGGACACTCAAAAGTAAATGGGGAATTTTGACAGACATGTCCATGCCCAGAACAAGATGCATGCTCAGAAAAGACCTGAGAAAACCTAAGCTTTCACCTTAGACTGATCCCTAGACACAGTGCAAGCCTAGCATGGAGTTGAAGGAAATCCCAAGCACAGAGTCAATTTGCAAAGAGTAGGACAGCTCCTAGCATTCAAGGAATTCTCCGTCAAAACACTAGCTGAACTCAAGCTAAGGAACAGAGACTTTAGTTACCATGTCAACAAAAAATATAGTATTTGAAATATAGCTTGGGAATGTCACTAAACAAACAGGCTACTATAGACTTCAATAACAGAAAGAAAAAAAAAAGAAAAGGAGCCAGAAAATCCTGGTGAAGGGGAGAATCTGATTTTCAGAGTTACCACATTGTAGTAATCAAATGTCTAGTTTTCAGTGAAAAATCACAAGGCATACAAAAAAATACAAAAATATGACTAATTCAAAGGACCAAGGTTAATTGACAGAAACCATCCTGGAGGAAGGACAGAAATTGGAGTTACTAGACAAAGGTTTTAAAAAAACGGTTTAAAGTATGATCAAATCATTAAAGAAAGACACAAAAAAAATAAAGGAAATCAGTATAACAATGGATGAACAAAATGAGAAGTCAGGTACAGGGGTACATGCCTGTAATCTCAGCTATTTGGGAGGCTGAGGTGGGAAGATCACTTGAGCCCAGAAGTTGAGGCTGCACTGAGCTATGATTGTACCACTACACTCCACCCTGGGTGACAGAGTGAGACCCCAACTCTATAAAACAGAGAGAGAACGAGAGAGAGAAAGAGATTATCAATAAAGAAATAAAAAATATCTAAAAAGAACAAGACAAATTTTGGAACTGAAAATAAATAAAATAATTGAAATGAAAAAATTAACTATAGGGTCCAACAGTAGATTTGAGCAGGCAGAAAAATGAATCAGCCAACTTAAAGATAGAATCATTGAAGTCATCAAGTGTGAGAAAAAGAAAAAAAAAAGAACGCAAAAAGTGTAGAGTCTAAGGGACCTGTGGAACACTGTCAAGTAGACAAACATACACATTATGAGAGTTCCAGAAGGAAAAGGGAAAAAGGAGCAAAAGAATATTTGAAGAAATAATGGTAAAAAACTTCCTGACTTTCATAGAAGATATAAATATACAAATCCAAGAAACTCAATGAACACTGTTAGGACAAACACCAAAATACCCACACCTAGACACATTATAAGCACACTGTCAAAAGCCAAAGACAAAAAGAGGATCTTAAAAGCAACAAAAGAGGCCAGGTGAGGTTCACACCTGTAATCTCAGCACTTTGGGAGGCCGAGGCAGGCAGATCACAAGGTCAAGGGATCAGGACTATTCTGGCCAATATGGTGAAACCCCATCTCTACTAAATACAAAAATTAGCCAGGTGTGGTGGTGCATGCCTGTAGTCCCAGCTACTTGGGAGGCTGCGGCAGGAGAATCACTTGAACCTGGGAGGCAGAGGTTGCAGTGAGCCAAGATCATGCCACTGCACTCCAGCCTGGTGACAGAGTGAGACTCTAACTCAAAAAAAAAAAAAAAAAAAAAAAAAGGCAACAAAAGAGAAGTGACTAGTCACATACAAGGGATCCTCAATAAGATTAACAGCCAATTTCTCATGAGAAACCATGACCAACAGAAGAAAGTAGGAGGACATATTTAAACTGCTGAAAGCAAAAATATGGCCAGGCACAGTGGCTCATGCCTGTAACCACAACACTTTAGAAGGCCAAGATGGGCGGATCACATGAGGCTAGGAGTTCAACACCAGCCTGATCAACATGGTGAAAACCTATCTCTACTAAAAATACAAATTAGCCAGGCATGTTGGTGCATGCCTATAATCCCAGAGGCTGAGGCATGAGAATTGCTTCAACCTGGGAGGCAAAAGTTGCAGTGAGCCAAGATCATGCCACTGCACTCCAGCCTAGGCAACAGGGCGAGACCCCGTCTCAAAAAAAAAAAAAAAAAAGAAAAAAAGAAAAAAAAAGAAAAGAAAAAAATCACCTGAAGTCTTACATATGATCCATGAAAATAAACAAATAAATAAAAATAGTCAATGAAGAACTCTATACTGTCCTTCAAAACTATGGAGAAATCAACATGTTTCCCGACAAACAAAAGCTGAGGGTGTTTGCTACCAGTAGACCTGTCCTGCAAGAAATGTGTTAAAAGATTAAAATTATACAAGATATATTTTCCAGCCACAATGGAATGAAACTAGAAATCAATAATAGAAAGAAAACTGGAAAATTCACAAATATGTGAAAATTAAACAACATACTTTTTTTTTTTGAGATGGAGTCTTGCTCTGTTGCCCAGGCTGAGAGTGCAGTGGCGCGATCCCGGCTCACTGCAACTTCCACCTCCCAGGTTCACGCCATTCTCCTGCCTCAGCCTCCTGAGTAGCTGGGACTACAGGCAGCCACCACCATGCCTGGCTAATTTTTTGTATTTTTAGTAGAGACGGGGTTTCACTGTGTTAACCAGGATGTTCTTGATCTCCTGACCTCATGATCCAACCGCCTTGGGCTCCCAAAGTGCTGGGATTACAGGCGTGAGCCACCACACCCGGCCTAAACAACATACTCTTAAACAATCAATGAATAAAACATGAACTCACAAGGAAATTAGAAATACCTTGAGACATGACAATAAACCACAACACACTAAAACTGATTCAATGCATCAAAAACACTACTAAGAGGAAATTTTATACCTGAAAATGCTTACATTAAAAAAGAAGAAAGATCTAAAATCAATAATCTAAACCTACATCTTAAGGAATAAGAAAAAGAAAAGCAAAACAAAATGACAGCTAGCTGAAGGGAGGAAACAATAAAGATGAGAGTGTAGATAAATGAAATAGAGAATAGAAAAACAATAGAATCAATAAACCCAAAAGTTGCTTATTTTAAAATACTCACAAAATTGACAAACCATAACCTAGACTAACAAAAAAAAAAAAAGATGGGAGAAGACACAAAGAAATAAAAATCAGAGATGAAAGTGGTTGTTACTATTGGTTTTGCTGAAATACTTAATAAAAAGGATTATAAAAAATAGTATGAACAATTGTACACAAAAAAATTGGATAACTAAGGTAAAATAAACAAATTCCTAGAAACATGCAAATTACCTGTACTGACCGAAAATGAAATCGAAATTCTGAACAAACCTATAACAAGTATAAAGATAGAATTAGTAACTCAAATTTTTTAAAAAGTCTAGAATTAAATGGCTTCACTGGTGAATTCTACCAATCATTTAAAGAAGAATTAACACTAAGTCTTCTAAAAACTTTTAAAAATAGATAAGGAGTTAATATTTCCTAACTCATTCTACGAGGCCAGCATTACCCTGATAAAAACATCACAAGATATAAAACTACAGACTAATAACCTTTTGAATATGATGCAAAATTCTCATCAAAATGCTAGCAAACTAAATTCAGCATCATATTAAAAGGACTATACATTGCCGGGCGTGGTGGCTCAGGCCTGTAATCCCAGCACTTTGGGAGTCTGAGGCGGGCGGATCACAAGGTCAAGAGATCAAGACCATCCTGGCCAACATGGTGAAACCCTGTCTATACTAAAAATACAAAAAAATTAGCTGGGTGTGGTGGCACACATCTGTAGTCCCAGCTACTCAGGAGGCTGAGGCAGGAGGATTACTTGAACCCAGGTGGTGGAGGTTGCAGTGAGCCAAGATCACACCACTGCACTCCAGCCTGGCAACAGAGCAAGACTCTGTCTCAAAAACAAAACAAAACAAAACAAAAAACGAAAAAAACAAAAAAACAAACAA
Organism: Homo sapiens; assembly: GCF_000001405.40. Lineage (NCBI taxonomy): Eukaryota > Metazoa > Chordata > Mammalia > Primates > Hominidae > Homo > Homo sapiens. Next base: position 229,682,655 of record NC_000001.11, on the reverse strand, counting down.
AAAAGGACTATACAACACCACCAACTGGAATTTATTCCTAGAATGCAAGGTTGGTTCCATATATGAAAATTAATCAATATAACACACTGCATTCCAAGAATGAATGGGGGAAACTTCATGATTATCTCAACTGATATAGAAAAAAGGTTGAAAATTTTAACACTTGTTCATGATAAAAACAGTCAATAAACTAGGGTAAAAGGAAACTCCTTCAACAAAACAAAAGCCACATATGAAAAACCTACAGCTAACATCATACTCAATGGTCAAAAACTGAAAAGTTTTTCTCTCAGATCAGGAACAAGACAAGGACATCCACTTTCACTACTTCTGTTCAACACAGTAGTAGAAATTTTAGCCAGAGAAACTAGGGAAAGAAAGAATGAAAAAAGAAAAAGAGAGAGAAAAAGAAAGGGAAGAAAGGGAAGAAAGGAAAGAAAGGAAGAAAGAAAGGAAGAAAGAAAGAAAGAAAGAAAGAGAGAAAGAGAAAGAAAGGGGAAAGGAAAGAAAGAAAGAGAAAGAAAGAGAGAGAGAGGGAGGGAGGGAGGGAGGGAGGGTAAAGAAGGAAAGAAAAAAAGAAAGAAAGAGAAAGAGAAGAGAAGAAAGAAGGAGAGAGGAAGGAAGGATGGAAGAGTGGGAGGGAGGGAGGGAGGGAGGGAGGGAGGGAAGAAAAAGTCATTAAATGGAAAGGAAGAGTATCATTATCCCTATTTGCAGATGACATGATCTCATATGTAGATACTCAAAAGAAAAACTGTTAGACCTAATAAATGAATTCAGGAAAGTTGCAGGATACAAAATCAGCACTCAAAAATCAATTGTATTTCTATACATTTACATTTAACAAACCAAAAAGGAAATTAAGAAAACAATTTCATTTGCAATATAATAAAAAATAATAAAATACGTGGGAATAAGTTTAACCAAGGAGGTAAAGACTTGTACGCTGAAAACTGCAAAATATTGCTGAAGGCATCTTTTTAAAAATAATAAATACAGTGACATCCATACTCATGGATTGGAAGACATTGTATTGTTTAGATTACAGTAACACTCAAAGCTATCTACAGATTCAATGAAACCCCTATAAAGTCCTAACTGTTTTTTTTTCAGAAATAGAAAAACCATATAGAATTTCAAAGTACCCTAAACAGCCAATCTTGAGAAAGAAAAACAGAGCTAAAGATCTCATACTTCTTGATTTCAATATATATTACAAAGCTATAGTAATCAAAACAGTATCGTACCGGCAAAAAGACAGTATACACACTACAATAGAATAGAGAGCCCAGAAATAAGCCCTCATGTTTGTGGTCAAATGGTCTTTGACAAGGGCGTCAAACATACACAATAGGGAAAGGATAGTCTCTTCAACAAATGATGTTGGGAAAACCACACATCCACATGCAAAAGAATAAATTGTACCCATCTCACAGCATATTAAAAAATTAACTCAAAATGGATCAAAGACCTAAATTTAGACCTAAAACTATAAAACTCTTTGAAGAAAACAGGGCACCAGCCCATGACATTGGATTTGGCAATGACTTCTCGGACCTGATACCAAAAGCACAGGTAATAAAAAAAAAAAAATAGGTAAATTGAGCTTCATCAAAATTAAGAACTTTTGTGCATCAAAATACACCATCAAAAGATAATTTATACCATCAAAAGAGAAGTAATATATCTTATATTACTTATACTAATAAATTACTAATTATATATTATTAGTAATATATTTTGATGCACTTACCTTTTGTGCATCAAAACATACCATCAACACATAGAATGGGAGAAAGTATTTACAAATCATTTATCTAATAAGAGGTTAATGTCCAGGATATACAAAGAACTCTGATAACTCAATAACAATAACATAAACAAACAAATTTAAAAATGGGCAAAGGACTTGAATAGACATGTCTCCAAAAAAGATAGACAAATGGCCAACAAGAACATGAAAAGAGGCTCAGTGTCACTAATCATTAAGGAAATGCAAATCAAACAAAACCACAATGAGATACCACCTCACTCCCATTAGGCTGGCTATAATCCCAAAAGCGGAACAATAACAAGTGTTGGTAAGGGTGTGGAGAACTTGGAACCTGGGTGTGTGGCTAGTGTGAAGGTAAAATGGTGCAGTCACTGTGGAAAACATCTGCTTCCTTCTCCTTGGCAGGTTGGATTTCACTGCTCTTCCCATCTATATGGCAGAAAACATGGCCAGTGATTTCCATGTTACTGGTCTAGACTCCACTCTCTCTCTCTGCCTTAATTCCAAATTCCTAGGAAGGAACATTTTAAGGCAGGTATCAACCCTTAAATTCCTCAATTGTGGCCTAAAGTAAAGGACAACAATTGATGTATATTAGCTGCCTTCTGGTCCAATCAGCTGTGACCAGGAGACAGGGTCACATGGCACAGGTAGCCACAAAGAGCCCACCATGGCTATCTGAGGACTTGAGAGGAGAAATAACAGAAAAGTCAAGAGGTTGTTTATTATAGGGGGGTGTGAAACATCAGAATATAATCAGTAGCACAACATACTAAAGGTACCATTTTACCTTCCCACTAGCCACACACCCAGGTTCCAAGTTCTCCACATCCTTACCAACACTTGTTATTGTTCCACTTTTGGGATTATAGCCCTGGAACCTACATGGTAGGAGCAGAAAGAAACAGGCATCATAGAGTTCTAGCAAGGTAGAAATGGGAAACCCAGGACCTGGGACTGGTCAGATGGAGCCAGAAGGATGCACAGTTGAAATTCACACGGCTAATAATTTATAGATTGAGCTCTGACACCACCTCTATCCAATTCCAAAGCCCGTGCTCTTTCTTCTACTCATCATTGCCACTCTTTGGGCAGAAAAATATTTTGCTAGTCTGAGCAAGTATGAAAAGAGAAAAGGTCATAAAAGTCTTCATTTGTTTGCTGATAGAATACCTTGTTTTTATAAGGTTTCTGAGAGGCATACAAACACATAATTTTCAAAAATTACTTATTTATCATGTGGTAGGCATATATTAAATTTTTTACCTACATTATTGTATTTAATCATCAATAACTTTATAATAACTAATATTATTATTTCCATTTTCTGGATGAAAAAACTAGAATTTAGAAAGGCTGTCTGGGCGTGGTGGCTCACACCTGTAATCCCAGTACTTTGGGAGTCTGAGGCAGGCAGATCACTTAAGGCCAGGAGTTCAAGACCAGCCTTGCCAATATGGTGAAACCCCGTCTCTAATAAAAAATATAAAAATGAGCTGGGTGTGGTGGCACACACCTGTAATCCCAGCTACTCTGGAGGCTGAGGCAGGAGAATCATTTGAACCCAGAAGGCAGAGGTTGCAGTGAGCCAAGATCACGCCACTGTACTCCAGCCTGGGCAACAAAGCGAGACTTTGTCAAACAAAGAAAGAGCTAAAGAGAGAGAGAGAAAAGAAAGAAGAAAGGAGGGAGGGAGTGAGGGAGGAAGGAAAAAAGGAAGGGAGGGAGGGAGAAAGGAAGGAAGGAAGGAAGGAAGGAAGGAAGGAAGGAAGGAAGGAAGGAAGGCAGGCAGGCAGGCAGGCAGGCAGGCAGGCAGGCAGGCAAGCTTTTAGTAATTTTCACAAAGTGATATATGTAGTAAATGACAAAGCTAGAGTAGTTAGGTCTGAGCCCACAGCCTTAAGCTCTGAAGTGTTAGGCTACATAGTTGAGAAGTCAAGATGAAGAAAAAACATGGTTAAGAAATTACAGTCTGGGTCAGGCGTGGTGGCTCACACCTGTAATCCCAGCACTTTGGAAGGCGAGGCAGGTGGATCACCTGAGGTCAGGAGTTCGAAACCAGCCTGGCCAACATGGAGAAACCCCATTTTAGTCTCTACTAAAAATACAAACATTAGCCAGGCGTGGTGGCACATGCCTATAATCCCAGCTACTTGGGAGGCTGAGACAGGAGAATCGCTTGAACCCAGGAGGCAGAGGTTGCGGTGAGCTGAGATCGCACCACTGCACTCCAGCCTGGGCGACAGAGCAAGACTCCATCCCTGCCCCCCAACCCCGCCCCCAAAAAAAGAAATTACAGTCTGATTATCCTCTAGAATCATACCTCATAATGTCTTGATTGGAAGCCAAGAATATAACAAAAAAATTAAAGATTCCTAGTGGCCAATGCAAAAAAAGGAAGAAAATGATTTGTAAAAGTTGTGATATCGTTAAGATTAATAGAAGTTTAGGATGGCCCCAATTTTTTTGATAACTCTCAGTACCCCATGAGTCTTTATAAAGAGAATAGTATGTGGTGTCATAGATAATGTCCTTGACAGCATCTTTACAAAAAAATACCATGACGAGTTTTATACTCATGCATTTGCAATTCACCCACTTAATCACAGTCAGTATAAAGTCAAATAATGTGAGTTTAGGAAGTTCCATATGAGGCCAAACCAACGTCGTCTCATTCACAGCTCTCTGGAGAACTGGTTTGAACCAAGGTTGTATGTATGTGTGTGTATGTGTGTCTGTGTGTGTGTGTGTGTGTCTGTGTAAGAAAAAAATGGATTGTATTTTCTTCAGGGAACTTACCATACATATTTTAATAAGAATTATACAGAAAGCCATGGTTGTGATTTCTGAGATAAAACCTGGAGTGCAGGTAGTCTATGTTGCTGATTAAAAACAGAGCCCCAGGCCGGGTGCAGTGGCTTACGCCTGTAATCCCAGCACTTTGGGAGGTTGGGGCAGGTGGATTGCTTGAGCTCAGGAGTTCGAGACCAGCCTGGGCAACATGGTGAAACCTCGTCTCTATGAAAAATACTAAAATGAGCAGGGCATGGTGGTGCCTACCTGTAGTTCCAGCTACTTGGGAGACTGCAGTAGGAGGATGGGTTGAGCCTGGGAGTGCAGAGGTTGCACACTGTACTCCAGCCTGGATGACAGAGCCAGACCTAGCCTCAAAAAAAACAAAAACAAAAACAAAGCCCCAGAGAGAGATAGAGGTTAAACTTAAGGAACTAATAAAGATTTACTTGGATGGGGTCATCCTACCTAAATGTTATAATTTGGTTTTGATCAACACGAATCAATATTATCTCATAAATATTATTTTTAAATGTCAATAAGCAAAATTCTAACCTATTCTAACCAATTTTAAGAGAAATATGTAAAATGAGAATCCATATGCCAATGCTATTTTGTGTTCCTTCTGTTGTTTTCAAAATATAAAGAGGAGTGACTCTTACTGTTTACTTGTAAATAGAAATTTTAATCTCATAAATAATGACCAGGACTTGCAATCATATTACAAATAAAAGCAAATGAGACAGCTCCCTTTAAACTATAGCTTTGATTATGCAATACAGCATTGTGGTTTGAAAGATGTTCTTCTCTTTTCTTATAATGGAAATAAAATGCCTTATAAATGAAGATTTTTATTAGGTATTGAAAAAAAGCAGTAAGAATAAAAAGAATTTGGAATAAAGTGGGATTGGTGAGAAAGAAGTATTAGTAGAACATACATCAAAATATATGAAGTTGTCAAATAAAATATTACTTGAAATGTCAGCCAGGTAATATTCATCATGCAGCTTGAAATATAGAACAAAATATTCAGATGTTTCTATTTAAGTCAGAAATAACTAATATGCCTACCACCATAAAGTTAAAAAGTCACAATTTGGCTCATCAAAAGATATTCCTGGGTTTCAACATAAAAGCAAAACTATTAAATTCATTTGAGAATCATCTACAATCATTTTGGTTCATGAAATGGTTTGCATAATATAGACTGAAATTACTGGTAGCTAAGATCCAAGGACTCCGCAAAAGTGAAATATATTGAGTGCAAATCTTAATGAGAAAGGAAATGATAATTAGGGACAATGGGCTGACGTCTTAATAGGACTAATTACAGAAACCAGAAAAAGTTCACTGAAGAAAAATGTGAACCTGTACCAACTTTTTAAGCAACATTTTTACTGCTGTTGTATATGGTAAAGAAATTATATATTTATGTTTAAATTATGATGCTGATTTGGCCAGGCGTGATGGCTCGCGCCTGTAATCCCAGCACTTTGGGAGGCCGAGATGGGTGGATCATGAGGTCAGGAGTTCAAGACCAGCCAGGCCAAGATATTTCGTGAAACCCCGTCTCTACTAAAAATAAAATTAGCCAGGTGCAGTGGCAGGTGCCTGTAATCCCAGCTACTTGGGAAGCTGAGACAGGAGAATCACTTGAACCTGGAAGGCAGAGGTTGCAGTGAACCAAGATCATACCACTGCACTCCAGCCTGGGCGACAGAGTGAGACTCCATCAAAAAAAAAAAAAAAAATTATGATGCCGATTTTAGGCAAATTCCTTAAATTCACTTTTAACTAGCATTAAAATAATTTGGTCAAAATACTTTCCTTATAGCCTCATTCACATGATACCTTTGTAATTATAGCTGGATGGCACATTAATCTTCATGGCATCACTAGAATATAAGCTCCATGAGGGCAGACCTGTCTATTTGCTTCACTACTATACCCCTGGCACCTATAACAGTATGGTGCATAATTGCTGCTCTAGAAGTATTTGTTAAATAAATGAGTGAATTTTCTGTAAGATATGTCATTTAGACACAGAAGTAAAATGTCCCCAAAACTGGGAAATAAGGTTAACCCCTGGGAATAAAACTCAGCTAGCAGGGCATACGAAAAGATGATAGCTATCTATAAAAATAATGTAAAAGATTATCTATGTATATGAAAATGAGGAAACTTAGGGCTCCTGAGTATAATCAGATATGGGGTATAGTATCAGTGAGTCATGATACAAACATGATTGCCACCAAGAAAATAAAAGCCTAATTTTTCACATGTTGTTAGAAACTATATCTAATGGAATAGAGTCCTGGGGAATAGGGAATAAGAAATTAAAATTTTTTATTCCCCTGGCTCCTTTACTAGTAAAAAGATAAGCTCCATGAAGGCAGATATATTTTTTTTCCTGTTTGGATGGATGGATGGATGGATGGATGGGTGGGTGAGTGAGTGGGTGTGTGGGTGGATGGATGGATGGATGGATGGATGGATGGTTGGGTGGGTGGATGGAGAGAAGTGTGAAGGGAAAGAGGGATGGAGGGATGAGTGGATGAACAGAGATTTATTTGATCATTTATTCATGTATCAAAGAACTTGCCCATGCTAATCCAGCATGATTCAGGAGAAAATTATGAAATCTGGCAGAGGGCTGTGGCCACCAGAATGATATACTCTATTTTAAAAGAGAGATAGGTCATTCCACTTTACTGTGCCTTGGTTCCATTAACAAACAGTTATTGAGCACTTGCTATTGAATAGTTCTCAAATGAGATATCAAGACTCATGGGAGGTCATTAGGATACAGAACCAGTTGGTTGTGATTAAAAACATAATACTAACAGTGGCCTAAACAGGTAGAATTGTATTTCTCTCCTGTGTGCATGTCTAGAATAATATGGTGGCTCTGCTCCATGAAGTTACTCCACAAAAAGCCAATGTGCTCTTCGGGTTAAGTTAAGCTATGTTGCCTGAAAAACAATGCTGAAATCTCAGTGGCTTAACAACGAAACACTTTTTGGTTCTTCTCCTGCTCATGCCAATGGCTGCTGTGGATCTGACTGCTCCTCTGGGAAGCTCATTCAATAGTGGTGCAAGGATCCACAATGATTCTGCCTTTTTTTTTTTTTTTTTTTTTTTTTTTTTTGAGACGGAGTCTCGCTCTGTCGCCCAGGCTGGAGTGCAGTGGCGTGATCTGGGCTCACGGCAAGCTCCGCCTCCCGGGTTCACGCTATTCTCCTGCCTCAGCCTCCCGAGTAGCTGGGACTACAGGCGCCCGCCACCATGCCCAGCTAATTTTTTTGTATGTTTAGTAGAGACAGGGTTTCACCGTGTTAGCCAGGATGGTCTCGATCTCCTGACCTCGTGATCCGCCCGCCTCGGCCTCCCAAAGTGCTGGGATTCCAGGCGTGAGCCACGGCACCCGGCCTGATTCTGCCTTTTTCTCAAGCACAAGGCTTGGAGGCACAGCCCAACCCCTAGTAAATTCAGCCAGGAAAGCGACAAGAAGCCCCTTTTTGATTGTGACAGTTTACTACGTACATAGGCCGTGAAAGGAAACACAAAGGTGCCCATTCCAGAAGTCCTTGTCCCACACACTAAAAGGATGACTCTGAAACAAGAGGCCCAGTGAATACAACATGAGTTGTAGGACACCCCATTGCAGAGGAGCTAATTCCCACCTCTAACCATGTGATTTTATAGTCTGCAGCTTTATTCTGAGAGAGATGGTGCACAAAGCCCCACACCTCCTCAGAACCAGGAGGCAATGGGAAACGGTGTAACAGCTGAGCAGGGGGAGAGGGAGGCTGTGGGCGGGGGCTCAGAGCAGCTCACGCAAGCCTGCCAACTTCCTGTGTTCTGAGAGGGCCGTGAGGCATTCTGGCAAGACTCAGATTCACTGCAGGGCAAGCCAGTGCCTAGGTGGTCAATATAGATGGTGCGAGATCATCAGGGTGCCATGTGGAGCTGTTACCTACATCTGCATCTCCATCATCCCCACCTGTCTCAGAGGAGAGGATCAGGCTGGAGAGTTGTGTGTGCTCCAGCCCAGAAGCGATCATATGTCACAGTTGAACATAGTTCTGCCTGACTCCTGGAGGGGAGTCAGGGAACTCGAAGGTGTTTAGCAAACTATAATCAATGTCTCTGCCTCAGCAGGCATGGCACTCAAGGCATGGGACCCAGGCTCCTTCTCCCTGGTCATCGACCGTCCCCCAAGCATTTGCCTCGTCTGTATGATCCAAGGTGGCTGAACTCCAGAAAGCAGGAAGGACAATGTATTTCCCTTACTTTTGAAGGAATGACCCCAAAGGTGTGTGCATTACTTCACCTCACATCCCACTGGCCACATGACCATGTAGCTGCAAGGTAGACTAGGATATCTAGTCTTTATGTTTGGTAGCCATGTGCCTGGCTTAAACTTCAATATACTGGAAGAAGAGGAGGACAGATCCAGGGACAGTGTGTAGAATTGGTCACAGGTATGTTGGGATCATTTGTAAGGTGTTTTCCAGGTAATCTGGCACCAATAAAAGTTAAAATATTGAAGCTTGTGAATGGTTTTTTGCCATTTGCGATTTATATATCTTTCATTGTGTTTCATGTTGACATGGTTTTGAAGGAAGAAGAGAGCTGCAGGTAGCACATTTGAGAAAATGAACCTAATCTTGGTGGAAAGGCCAACATGAAATACCCTTTAGAATAATGCAGCTCCTTTCACATAATGTCATCCTCTGCAAGCAACCCTCCAGATGACGAATCCAGCTTCCCGAGGATTCTGAAACCAGGTAGAGCTCGTGCCTTAGTTAAGAGCTTAAATAGCGCAGTCACTGTTGATGAATCTTGTCCATGGTGAAAACTCTTTTTATTTGGTTATCATGATATTGTAAGTTAGCTCTAAGTATCTAGTTGATGCTGATTTACTGATATAGTGAAGTTTCTAAAGCTGCTAATAAGCTTAACCGAGTCCCCAGGACATAGGGACTCTGAATCAGGGGCCTGCCACACTGTAAGCCCTGCCTGTGCATGCAGCCAGCTAGCTTCCCTCTAAGTGGTTTCTATTGCAGGTATGTCTTAGAGCAACAGAAGGTTATTCTGATACTTTGCAACCTCATAGCCTGAAAACACATGTTTACACCAGCATGATTTCCCACCGGAAGCTGCACTGTAGAGGCAGAACATGTTCATACAGCAGCATCCCTTTGGGATAGGAAGCACTACTGACATCACCAAGAATCACAGAAACTCTTAGGGCAAATACACATAGGAATTCCCAAATGCCTTTTCCCCAGCACTGAAAAATAGGACCATTCCAGTATTTCTGATTTAACATCTGATTTAAGATTCATTGACCAGGGGAGAAAAAAGAAACAGATCTCATGCCAACACGATACCTTGAAAATAAAATATTGAAACCTTACCAAAAACTCAAGTCAGAAATACATTGCAAATATAATAAAAGGTGTACAGCACCCTGCCTATCAATTTTCTTAAATGATCTTTTCATGTTCTGTGGAAATTATAAACATAGCTATTCTCAATAAATGTGTAATTTGGATGGAGAAAAGCCCAGAGCTGGCATAAAACTCATCTCTGTCGGTAGGTTTTCAGATGTTTCTAAAATGAAATAGAGCAGAAACAATTTCAAAGCTCTGAGAAAGTGAGCTGTTTCAAAGAGGTAGCAAATAAAAATGAAACACCTGCAAATCCTGCAGAGACGTGTACAGCATCATCAGCCTCTGGCTTCCAGGCTCAGTGGTGGAGATTTTGATTCCAGTAGGATTGTGTCCACATTAGAAACTCCAAAAGGCAAGCTTTTCTTTTCTTTTCTCTTCTCTTCTCTTCTTTTCTTTTTCTGTGCCAAAACATTCTTTATTGCCTACAGCTACGGAGAGCAACTCAAGCTTAATGAACCAATGGCAAAGACGACAAAGAGAATAGTAGCTAAGGTCGGGGTTTTTCCTAAATTCCATTATGTATTTTATCATCACTGATTCTGTTATAAACAACTTCTGACCTTTGAGACCAACTTCAGTGTCCACAGAGACAACCTACCAAACCCTGTCTCCAAGCTCTGTGATGTCTCAACATAAATGTCCTTCTCCTGCGCCACTCTGTCCCAAGTGGGCAGAATAGATCTTGTCTGACTACCTAGAATCACGCCAACCTTGACACTTTAAGACATCAACAACGCACTTTCCAATCAAAACCTCCAGAAGAACCTACTAACAACCCTCTCTTGAGCTGCCTGGAATGTCCTCATTGAAGTGCACAACCTAACTTTCACCATCTAGTTCTTGCTTATCTTTAATAATAACAGCTTCTAAGAACATTTCTTATGGCTTTTGAATGAGTGATGGTGGAGAGGGGAACATTCCAATTAAGGTTTAAATATTGTTGGTTTTATCTCATAATCTCTTAATCTAAAATAACCCTTTCACCTTTTCCTTTCTTTCATGACACTGACGTTTTGAAGAGTTTCAAACATGCCCCACATTCTGGTTTTATCTGATTGTTTCCTTGTGATATCATTTGCCTTGTTCCTCCACCCCCTGACTTTCTCAAAGTTAGGTCTACAGCAGTGCTGTGCAGTAGAAATCTGTAAACCAGCCCGGCGCAGTGGCTCACACCTGTAATCCCAGCACTTAGGGAGGCTGAGGTGGGTGGATTGCTTAAGCCCAGGAGTTCAAGACCAGCCTAAGCAATACGGCAAAACCACATCTCTACAAAGCAAAAAAAAAAAAAAAAATTAGCCAGCTGTGGTGGCATGCGCCTGTAGTCCCAGATACTCAGGAGGCTGAGATGGGAGGATCCCTTGATCCAGGATCACATCAATGCACTTCAGCCCAGGTGACAGAGCAAGACCTTGTGTCAAAAAAAAAAAAAAAAAAAATCTGTGAACCACATACATAATTTTAAATTACCCAGTAGCCACGTTTTAAAAAATGTAAAATAGGTAAAGCTAATTTTAATAATTATTAACTCACAAAATGCTGATTTCAACACAATGTTTTCAAATTATCAGTGAGAGGCTGGGTGCGGTGGCTCACACCTGTAATCCTAGCACTTTGGGAGGCCGAGGCAGGTGGATCACCCGAGGTCAGGAGTTCGAAACCAGCCTGGCCAACATGGTGAAACCCCGTCTCTACTAAAAATACAAAAATTAGCTGGGCATGGTGGTGTGGTCCTGTAATCCCAGCTACTTGGGAGGCTGAGGCAGGAGAATCACTTGAATCCAGGGGGGTGGAGGTTGAAGTGAGTCAAGATGGCACCACTTCATTCCAGCCTGGGCGAAAGAGTGAAAGTCCATCTCAAAATAAATAAATAAATAATCAATGAGAGATTTCACATTATTTCTTCATCCTGAGTCTTTACAACATAGATAATACATGCCTACAGCACATCTCAATTTGGACTAGCTACATTTCAACACTGAATGGCCACACATGGCTAGCGGCTACCATATTGAACAGTGCAGGTCTACAGGCTTGATTAGATGACAGGTAAAATTTTTGGCAGTGATACATCTTAGATGGTAGTATGCACTTCATGTTACACTGCCGCAGACCACTACTTATTATTGTTAACATGGACCGATATTTCTATAATAAAGATACTTTCCTCCCTAATCATACTCAGCAAGTAATCCTTGGGGTAATTCTTTGGCACCATGCAAATATTTTTGGAACAAGTGAAAAAATATTGACTATAGACTGGACAATAGAGGGTTTTATGGAATTTGATTTTTCTTAGGTAAGAGATGGGCATTATGGGATACAAGAGAATGTACTTTTTACTGGGAGCAGGATGAAGTTTTTAGGAGTGAAATATAATGTTGGCAACTTCTTTTCACACTGCATTAGCAAAACATATAGTGTGTGTGTGTGTGTGTGTGTGTGTGTGTGTGTAGAGAGAGAAATTAAGCAAATATGTCAAATAGTAACAATTTTTTAATATAAGTAGAGTATATGGATGTTTATTGCACTATTTTTTCAACCTCTATAATTTTGAAATTTTCACAATAAAAAGTTGGGGACAAAATTTTTAAAATAATAATAACAGCACTTATTCTCTACCTGGGACTGTACTAAAGGATTTTTGTGCATTTCAAATTTAATCCTTGAAACAACAATACAAGGTAGTTATAATTATTACCATAGTTTTTCCTGACAATGAAACTAAGGTACAGGGAAGTTAGGTGGTTTTCACAAAGTTACACGGATAATTCTATCAATGACAGGTGAGATTCAAATTGAGTATATCTAACTTGGAATCCGTGTTCTGAATAACAAAAGTATATTGACTCCTGAGCATTCAAAGGAAATATTTCAAGTTCAGAAAAGTCATTTTTCTAGGTCTTGATAACCTCAATCTTTATTCTAAAGACCAAGCAGCGTGCGAGGTGAACCCAGAGAGATGAAAACCCTAATTCAAGACCCCAGATGACAAGGCCACATACCATAATGGTAGTCCAGGGCATCTGCCTACTTGCAGGACCAGATTCACTGTGTTCTTACATCAAGAAACCTTTGCACTGGCTTGGTCTGTTTCCAGGAACTGGAACCAATGGTTTTCTCCAGACACCCACAGGCAACGAGCCAACACTAATAATTTCAAATATAACTGGCTCTTAAGCCAGGTTTTATTTCAACTCACTTCTCTCATTGGCTATAGAATGACGAGGATGATGACAGCCACTATTTATTGAACCCTTATTGTTTATGTGCCACACACTAAGTTCTCTTCATATAGCACCTAGCTTAATTATTTCAACAACTCTGGGAGGCATGTTCTAGAAGAAAAATGAAACACAGACACTGAAAATAGTATGTAGGGCTGAGATAAGACAATTCCAGAATAGTTACTTCTCACCACTGCATGGCAGAGTGAGAGGTGCCATCCCCAGAGAGCTCGTGTATACTGGAACTAAGCAGAATGGCCATGAGCTCCTGGGTAGCAGCCACTTCATCATATTCCCCACTGGGAACCAGATGAAGGGATGGCATCAGGGGGGACATTCTTACCCACTGGACACCTTCTGGGCTGGCATCTGATGAAGCCCTTTAAAGTCCACTATCTTGTTCAAGGTGCAGGACCACACCGGAGCCAATCATTA